>NC_000002.12:22055209-22206725 GCF_000001405.40 Homo sapiens
TGTATATACGTATATGCGTACATATATACGTGTATATACGTATATGCGTACATATATACGTGTATATACGTATATGCGTACATATATACGTGTATATACGTATATGCGTACATATATACGTGTATATACGTATATGCGTACATATATACGTGTATATACGTATATGCGTACATATATACGTGTATATACACATATACATACGTATATATACACATATATACGTATATATACGCATATATATAAAAATCAAGAAATGACTATAAGTTTCCTTAGGCCAGCAGCTCCCCATCTATATCTACATATCTAGATATATATCTAGATATATACTCTCTATATATCTAGATATATATGATATATATCTAGATATATATTATATATAGATATATCTAGATATATATAGATATGCATATATATACATATATACACATATATATTATATATACATATATGTATATATCTATATATATATACACACACATATATACACAAGCAAGTGTCTTTGCTCTCAATTTCGTTTTGGTTTTTTTTTTCCAGTCAATAGAGAATAGGTCAAAGAGCTAGTTAGAGAGCTGGAATGTGTAAAAGTGTAATTCCAAAAGCAGTATGATGGAAAAGAATTGATAGGGAAAAGGAGCTTTTATGAAAAGCTTTGAGAGCACATGAAATGAATGATTAAATTTTTTGTAGTAGGAGTGACAAGAGGAAAGAGAAGTGTGTTAATATGAGACTTCACCTGTTGAGTGATATCAGCAACCAAAACCATTTCGCAATATGAGGGACATACAGAGAGCGAGGTCTAAAGTTCAGTAGAGACTAACTGAAGGTAAACAGGGGCCCAGTTCCAGCCTGACTATAACTGGCTCCATTCATGAGACCGAGAAAGATATACTTTCTCCTGTAATCAATGAGAAGAGAAATATTATCAAGATTTGAATCATATGGTACGTTTTCATTTTAGAAAAACTCTATGAAAGGAGGCAAGGAAATGAATTAGAATACTCTAAGAGAGTAAGGAAGTTTTGGAGCCAAATAAAATGTTCCCTTCACTCTTTGAAGGTTCACTGAAAATCAGCTGACAAAAGGCAGATTAATAGGAGAAAAGGCATACCAAATTAATTTTAACATTGGTGGTTGTGGGAGGATCACAGAAGAATGATTACCCAAAACTCAATGGGGTACAGATGTTTATATACCTTTCCTCATAAGGCAAGGAGAAATGGGGAAAATTTGGCAATTTGAAGGATAGTAATGAATGGATTTGGAGAATATGCAATGGCCTAGATCAAAGTCTGTTGAGCCTGCAGAGCAGATAATGGCTGGTAAATGATTCTCTTTGAAATATTGAATGAGACTGCAAGACAGTGGTTGGTGACAAAAGACTGTACAAGTGTATTAACAGACCTCAGTCTTCTCATGATATGAGTTAAGTAAGCAAGAACTCAGGGAAGAGACCAGAGATAATTGCTCTCTTCTTTAGAAGGTCTGTGCTTTAGTCAGATAAGGGAATTTCAGTATTTCGTTGGTTTCTTTGAGCGAGACGGAGAATTGAAAGTCTGAAGAGGTGCAGGAATGGTCAGAGAGACCTTGAGATTGCTTCTTTAGTCTGGCATATCCAAGTGCTATATTTTGGGGTATCAGTTGCTGACCCCCAAAAAGGGCCTAAACCAGAAGAGTGCCAGTGGGAGAGGTAAAAAAGGGGGAGCTGACTGAGCAGCTCTGTAACTCACATGAACCACTATGACTCAGTAACGAATTATGTGAAAAAGTGTAACACAAGGAAAAGACCAGGATAACCCAGTGATTTCCAGGTGAATGATTAGCTCATGTCTTAGTCTAGAGGTAAAAGCAACAGTCTTCTTAGAAAAGATGATGATTTTGTTTTTGACCGTGGTGTACATGAAGGCACTATGTGACATCCAAGGTCAGATGTTCGTGGGTTGTGGGAATAAGGTTCTGGAAGACAGGGAGAAATCTGGGCTCAAGCGAGAGATTCAGAACACGGGCACGTAGGTGGTATTTAAAGCCAGATGAATATAGGACAATAAGGAAAGGGAATAAAGGATTATGAAATCTAAAATTTAATATATAAAAATAAAATACAAATAGAGGGCAAGAAGATTGAAAATGAGCGGCCAAAGAGAGAAAAGGGATCCGTGACTCAAAAGCTCAGAGTTATATGAAGATAGACTGGGCCTTGTGATGGTATCACATTCTCTAGAGACGTCAAGTAGGATGAAGTTTGAGAAGAAGCCATTAGATATAACATTTAATATGTCAGTTTCACTGATTCAATGGGTGGTATGTTTAGATGTAAATTGAAATTAAAAAATGAAGACAAGAAGTTTACATTCAAGATTTAGCTAAGGCAAGGAAAAAGAGGAGTGTTTTGTTTAAAATGAAGAAATAAACTCATATGTGAAGGTGTGCTATAACTTATAAACATACTACATAAATATAATTTTTACTGGAAAGGGGTCCCTATCTAGACCCCAAGAAGGGGTTCCTGGATCTCATGCAAGAAAGAATTTGAGGCAAATCCGTAAAGTAAAAGCAAGTTTATTAAGAAAGTAAAGGAATAAAGAATGGCTTCTCCATCAGAGCAGCGGCTTGAGCTGCTGGCCTAAAGATCCTTATAGTCATTTCTTGATTATATGCTGAACAAGAGGTGGATTATTCATGATTTTTCTGGGAAAGGGATGGGCAATTCCCAGAACTGAGGGTTCCTCCCCTTTTTAGACCATACAGGGTAACTTCCTGACGTGGCCATGGCATCTGTAAACTGTCATGGCACTGGTGGGAGTGTCTTTTAACATGCCAATGCATTATAATTAGCATATAATGAGCAGTGAGGAAGACCAGAGGTCACTCTCATCGCTATCCTGGTTTTGGTGGGTTTTGGGCAACTTCATTATGGCAACCTGTTTTATCAGCAAGGTCTTTAAGACTTCTATCTGGTGCTGACCTCCTATCTCATCCTGTGACTAGGAATGTCTAACCTCCTGGGAATGCAGCCCAGCAGATCTCAGCCTTATATTACTCAGACCTTATTCAAGATGGAGTTGCTCTGGTTCAAATGCCTCTGACATAATAGACTGTGAAATAGAATATTCTTTGGATTAAGCCAACTTTACTGAGGCCCACTCACCCACTGCGTATGACACCTGGTAGCAGACTCCAAAAAGCATGACTTTTATTTAACTTTATGTATAGTCTTTTAGGGCAGTGAATAATATATAGAAAAATAATTTGGGCTCTAATTTTCCAGATTTACTTTCATTTCTAACTTCTCCATAAGGCTTTCCCTGAGTACACAGCCTCTACACAGTCAGATCACCTAGCTCTAGCATTTAGAATCCCCTGTTCCCAACCAAAACTTCCCACTTCCCTGTCATTGCTCTCCATTGGCTAAAAGTCCCTAAGAAAGTTTCTAGCTTCTTTTGTTTTCCACATAGGCTCGAACTTAATGAAGACTACATTTCTTGTCTAAAATCTGAAGTTTGTTTCTCGTTGAAAACAAAGGGAACAGAAAACAAGCAATACTAAGTGCTGGCAAGTCCCTGGAGACATGCAGTTCTCTTGTTCTTTAAAAGCTCTCAGTAGTTTTTGTGGAACTACCAAGGTTCATTCTAGAGAAAATAAAAAGCATAGTTCTGTAGTGACAATTCGATTCACCTTTAAACAAAAAAAAAAATCAAGAAAACAATTACTTAAAAGCCTAAATATTTGGTTTCAGGCAATATTTTACTTAACATTCCCTTCTAATCAATCTTGAAAACCTATTTTAGCTTTCAAAATATACAACTTAAAGGTATCAAAGGTAGCAACCCTCACCTTAAGCACAGTCTAGTCATTAAAAACATGGTCTTAGAATACTGAGATTTTTGTGATTTATACGAAAGAGAAAAAATCAATTTCACTGAGATTTTAATTTACATTGTTTGTGTAATCCTGTTTGGGTCCTATACAAACTGATTTCTTATGAAATGTATCTATTTTTATATTAAGAAAGAATAGAAACTGATTTTATTTAATTTAGAGACAAACATATTTGTAACTAAAGCTTATGTGGCATTCTATCCCTAAATTGACCCATACACTGCCAATATCTCCCTGAAGTTTCCAGAGATAATTTTCATCCCTCATCCCCATCCTCTTCAGACAAACTGAACATCAACTTTATGGAGTGTGTACAAAACTATCCTCAGCATAACATGTGCATATGGCTTCAGAATTTTGTTAAGATGTTGTACTTCTGTACCTTCCTCTCTTGTTCTCTTTGGTCTTTATAGCTTACACACTAAAAATGTGTGTAAAATACACCATGCTGACTCCAAATTCCTCAATTTCTTATATTTCCAAATAGTTTCCTTTATTTATGACTCAATTACTTATAGGTATGATCATTTCTAAGTGTTTTAATGTTTTGTTCACTATTGACAAATGGCATTTCGCTCTCTAAATGACTATTGGCATTTCATTGAAGGCTATTTTTTTATATATTTTGAACACTTTTAGATCTACAGAAAAATTAATTAGATTATACAGAGGTTTCCATATATCCTGCATCTAGTTTCGTTATTAACACCTTATATTTAGTATGGTACGTTTGTCCAAAGTACCATATTGATACATTATAATTAACTAAAGTATATAACTTGATCACATTTCTAAAGTTTTCACCTAATATCTTTTTCAATTCCAGATCCTATGTTGATATGTTATATTTATTCATCATATCTCCATAAGGTCTTCTTGACTGTGATTATTTCTCTGACTTTCCTTGTGTTTGATGACCTTGACAGTTTTGAGGAGGAGAGATCAAGCATTTTGGTGAAATGTCCTTCAATTGGATTCGCTTGATGTTCTACATTTTATGGAGGAAGATCACAAAGATAAAGTGTCATTCTTATCACTTTATATTAAGGGTACATACTATCAGGATGATTTACCAAGGTTAGGTGATATAAACCTAGATTACCTGGCTGAGGTAGTGTTTATCGGGATTCTCCCCATTTTCATACTGTACTCTTTGAAATGAAGTTGCTATGCTCAGCTCATTCTTAGAGTGGCAAGTTTCATTCTACTTCATTAAGGGAAGAGTATCTACACAAATAATTTTGATTTTTTTTTTTGGAGATGTATGTCTTCTCACCTATTTGTTAATTTACTTCATTATTTATTTATATCAGAATGAATGTGGGCAAACGACATGAATAGACATTTCTCAAAAGAAAATATACAAATGGACAAGAAATATATATTTAAAAAATCAACATCACTAATCATCAGGGAAGTGCAAATTAAAATCACGATGAGATACCACCTTATCCTAGTCATTATGGCCATTGTTTAAATGTCAGAAAAAAAAAACACAAAAATTTTGGAGTGGATGCAGTGAAAAGGGAAGACTTATACCCCGTTTGTGGCAATGTAAATTAGTACAACCTCTATTGCAAACAGAGGGAGGCTTCTCAAATAATTTAAGGTAGATCTACCATTCTAACCAGTAATTCTACTACTAGATATCTACCCAAAGGAAAAGACATCATTATATAAAAAAGACACCTGTACCCATATGTTTATCACACCACAATTCACAATTGCAAAGATATCGAATCAACCTAAGTGTCAATCAATGAATGAGTGGATAATGTGGTATATATACCACAGAATACTGCTTATCCTAAAAAAGAATAAAAGAATGTCTTTTGCAGCAACTTGGATGGAACTGGAGGCCACCATCTTAAGCAAAATAACTCAGGAGCAGAAATCCAAATACTGCATGTTCTCACACTAAACTATGGGTACACAAAGGCTTACAGAGTGGTATAATGGACATTAGAGACTCAGAGGTGGGAATGGTGGATGAGGGATTAGGGATAAGAAATTACATGTTGAGTACAATGCACATTATTCAGGGGATGGGTACACTAAAGGCCCAGACTTCATGACCATAACATTTATCTGTGTAACCAGAAATGACTTTCTACCCCTAAAGCTAGTGAAATTTTAAAAAAGAAGTCTGTGGATAATTATCTTATACTTTAGGTTATTAGTCAATGCTACTTTACTTGTTTAGTTACTATTTTGTTTCCATCTTTGGCCATTAAGAGCTTTTTCATTTGGCTCCTATGTCCCTTTGTTATACACCTATTACTTTTATTTGTGCTTTGATTTTCTGTTTCTTCATTTTTTGGTTTGTTTTTAAGCATTGCCTCACTTTCTGGCATTACAAGATAATAGGGTTCTCTATATACACATACACACACACAGACACATTTTTATATACGTATGTGTGTGTATATATGTATATGTACATATGCATGTGTGTGTGTTTGTGTGTGTGTGTGTGTATGTATCTTGTCTCATTCCTAGAATCAGCCACTGCTCCAAGGATCCACTTGGAACACTGGTTCCTTTTATTGGAGAAACATTTCGGAAACCAAGATCTGGGCACTTAATATGCGCATGGCTATTGAGGTGTTGGTTGCTTCTAGGCACTATCAGCTGAGAAAATGAAAACATGTGTATGTGTATACTAATGTTTGCATTTGCACATATCTGTGAATACTCCTATAGGTCTAGCATAGTGGCTCATACCTGTAATCCCAGCACTTTGGGAGGCCGAAACGGAAGGATTGCTTCAGGCCAGGAGCTCAAGACCAGCTTGGGCAACATAGTGAGAGCCTGTCTCTAGATTGTTTTTTAATTAGTCAGGTATGGTGGTATGTGCCTATAGTCCTACTCAGGAGGCTGAAGTGAGAGGAACACTTGAGCCCAGGAGGTTGAGGCTGCGGTGAGCTATCATTGTGCCACTGAACTCCAGCCTGGGCAACAGAGAGAGACCCTGTCTTTAAAAAATAAAATAAAGATAAATTTATCTATCTTTATGTTTATATATGTATAAACATAAACTTATACAGATGTCTCCAACTCTCCTAGTTCACCTTCTCTGCCTTTGTGATGCAGCATAAAGCCCTCACCAAGTTCAAAGCCTTGCCCTTGAACTTTCCAGCCTATAGAATTGTGCTAAATAAACTTCATTTCTGTGTAAATTACCCAGTCTCAGGTATTCTATTCTTACAACACAAAACAGACTAAGACAACAGTTAAACGGCTTTTTTTTTTTTTTTTACATTCTGCATTCTGTTCTGGGACACCCTAAGTGCATAAATAGTTTTTTCAATTTGCATATAGTAAGGCTCATTTTTTTTTATCTTAAGTTCTAAGAACTGAGAAATGCTTAATGGCATGTAGCCAACTTTACAGTATCATATAGAATAGTGTCACTGCCCTAAAAAATTCCCTGTGCTTCAGCAATTCAAACCTCCACTGCATCCTTTTCAGCCCCTACAATCACTGATTTTGCAACTGCATTATAGTTTTGCAATTTCCAGAATGTCATATAAATGGAATTATACAATATGTACATTTTCTGACTGGCTACTTCACTTAACAATATGAATTTAACATCCATGTATTTTCATGACTTGATACCTCATTTATTTTTATCATGGAAGAATATTTCATTGAACGGATGTACCATCCTTTGTTTTTCCATTCGCCCATTGAAGAGAGTATCTGTAGCTTCCGGTTTGGAGAATTTATGAATAAACTGCTATAAACACTTGCATACAGGTTTTTGTGAGAACATAAGTTTTCAACTCATGGGCAAATGCTTAAAATTAGAATTGCTAAATCCTATGGTGGGACTATGTTTAGCTTTGTAAGAAACTGTTAAAGTGTCTTCCGAAGAGGCTTTCTTATTTTGAATTTCTACCAGCAATCAGGGTTCCTGTTGATCTGCACTTGCCAACAATTGCTAATATTACCTAATTAGTGTGTTTTTACTTGGCTTGTTTATTTGATTTTTATTCATTCTAATGAATATGCAATAAGAATCTCATTGTTGTTTTAATTTAAATTTTAAAATGAGAAATTAAGCATCTTTTCATGTGTTTACATGCTGTCTGAATGTCTTCTTTGGTAAGGTATCAGTCCAGATGATTCACCCATTGTTTAACTAGGTCGTTTATTTTTCAACTCTTAAAACTAAGAGTTGAAAATAAAATAAACAATTAATAGCTAAAATAAAATAAACAACTAATAACTAAAAAAATAAAACTAAGAGTGTTAAGAGTTCTTTGTATTTACTAGATTCAAGCCCTTTAAAACAGATCTATGTATTGGAAATATTTTCTCCCAGTTTGTGGCTTGGTCTTTTTATTCTCTTAACAGAAGCTTTTGCAGAAAAGAAGCTTTTAACTTTAATAAAATCTAACTTATCAATTTTTACAGTCATTCTTTTGATATTGTATCAAAAATTATTATCAAACCCACATTCATGTACATTTTATGTATTTTATTCTATAAATTTTATAGCTTTTCACTTTATATTTAGGCTCATGATCTATTTTAATTTTTGAGAAAGGTGTACGGTCTAAGACTTCCTTCCTGCCTGCCTGCCTTCTTCCCTCCCTCCCTCCCTCCCTCTCTTCCTTCCTCCCCTCCCCTCCTTTCTCTCTCCCTCCATCTCTCCTTCCCTCCTCCCATCCTTCCTTCTTTCAACATTTAATTCTTCCAGTATCCTGTTGAAAAGATCATCCTTTGTCCATGAAATTATCTTTGCCCCAAATTCAAAGATCAGTTTACTATCTGTTTAGGTCTATTTATATGTTTTCTATTCTGTTTCATAGATATAGTTATGTAGTTTTTCACAAATCCTACACAGTCTTGATTACTATTTCTTTACAGTAAGCTTTGAAATCTGGTGGTATGATTCCTGCAACATTTTTGTACTGCTCAGTCTAGGTCTTTGGCCTTTCCATGTAAATTTTATTTATTTATTTATTTAACACAGAGCAAGAGCTCTGTCACCTAGGCTGGAGTACAGGGGCTGTCTCGGCTCATTGCAGTCTTGACCTCCTGGGCTCAAGCAATCCTCCATTTCAGCATCCTGAGTGGCTAGTACCACAGGTGTTCACCACCAAGCCTGTTGGGGCTTTTTATTTTTTATACATATGAGGTCTCACTATGTTGCTCAGGCTTGTCTAAAACTCCTGGGCTCAAGCAATCCTCTCACCTTGGCATCCCAAAGTGCTCCATGTAAACCTTGAAATCAGTTTGTGGTTACTAACAAAATAGCTGGCCAGGATTTTTATTGTGATTACTCTGAATCTATAGATCAAGTTGAGAAGAATTGACACCCTAGCAATATTGAGTCTCTCAATCCAAACATGGATCATATCCCCATTTGTTTAGATATTATTTATTTTATCAGAGTACAGTGGTTTTCAGCATATAATCTGTATATATTTCATTAGGATTATACCTAAGCATTCATTTCTTTTCTAATTATTATAAATGTATATCTTACTTTAAATTTTAATCGCCATTGCTGACATATATGAAAGCATTTGACTTTTATACACTAAACTCATGTTCTGCAATCTTGCTAGACCAACGTCTTACTTCCAGAATTATTTTGGTCTTTTCTTTGATATTTTCTGCATAGACAATCATGTCATCTGTGAACACAGAAACTTATGTTTCTTCCCTGACAATCTGTATACCTTTTATTTCCTTTCCTTGTCTTATTGAACTATCTAGGATTCAATTCAATAGAATTCTAGTACAATTTAATTTATTGCACTCCCTAGGATAGTACAATGATGAATAGGAGTGGTAAAAAATAATATCCTTGCCTTCTCTCAATAGTAGGGAAAATTGCCCAGTTTTTTAACTGTCAAGTATAATGTGGGCTATAGGTTCTTTGTAGATGTCCTTTATCAATTAGAGGAGGTTTCTCTATAATACAAGTTATTGAGAATTTTTATCACAAATGGCTGTTGGATTTTGTCAAATGTTTTTTCTCTATCTATTGATAAGATCATGTAATTTTTCTTTTTCAGGCTGCTGACGTGATAAATTACATTGACTTTTAACAGAGTCTAAAGTTGGTTCTCTGAGATGATCAATAAAATGATAAAATTCTACCCAAGTTAAAAGCAAACAAACAGGAGAGAAGATACAATTACAAATATAAGATGTGAAATGGGACATTACTACTCATACCCTGGACAGTAAAATGATAATAAAAGAATACTTTGAGAAATGCTATGCTTACAAATTTGATAACCTAGGTGAAATAGTCCAATTTCTTGAAAGATGCAAACTATCAAAACTCATACAAGGAGACATAATGATATGGTTTGGATTTGTGTCCCCCCACCAAATCTCATGTCAAACTGTAATCCTCAATGTTGGAGGAAGGGCCTGATGAGAGGCGATTGAATCATGGGAGCAAATATCCCGCTTGCTTTCTGTTAATAGTAAGTCTCATGAGATATGGTTGTTTAACAGTGTTGCACCTTCCCCTTTTCTCTTCCTGCTGCTCCAGTTATATAAGACGAGCTGCTTCCCCTTTGCCTTCTGCCAGTATTCTAAGTTTCCTGAGGCCTCCCCAGCCATGCTACCTGTACAACCTGCGGATCCTTGAGCCATCTAATCCTCTTTTCTTTATAAGTTACCCAGTCTCAGGTATTTCTTTATAGCAGTGCAGCAATGGACTAATACATGTACTTACACACTCAAACATAAGAAATTAAATCAAACATAAATAACTCATGAGGTCAACATTACCCTAATACCAAAGCTAGATAAAAATTACAATAAAGCAAAACTATAAACTAATGTTTCCCATTAACATATGTAAAAATACTCTCAACAAAATATTACCAAATCATACCCAAAAATATATTTTAAAGTTACACATATGACCAAGTTGAGCCTATTTCAGTAACGCAGACAGAACTGGTTCAATATGTGAGAGTACGATGAGATCTAATTGTTTCAAGTTATAAAAGTTATGTCATCTTTTTGCCTGGAGAGACTAAAAATGTTGCCTTCATCATTGAAAGCCAAACATTTTACAAGGATATATAGAAAAGCAACAACAAAGCAGCATATTTAAGAAACATAGTAAAAAGGATCAACCTTCCCTCCTGGATTTAAGGATAGGCTAATAGTGGCTTATAGGTCTTTTATGTATGACATATTGTTAAGTAAATTAAGTAAATTCCCTATTGTTAAGTAAATTAATTACTTAAGTTAATCTATTGTTAAATCTATTGTTAAGTAAATTATGTAAAATTCTCTATTGTTGAGTAAATTAAATAAAACAGTTCTCTATTGTTAAGTAAATTAAGTAAATTCTCTCAGAGTAAGATGTGACTTTTTATTTACTTATAAAAATGAGATTTATGATCGAGAGAGACTATAAGTGGATGTTAGAGACATTTTGATATTAATGATGGTATTTTAGGTTTCTGAGTTCTATGGAATTAGTTCTCTGATGTTTAATTTAGTAAAATAAAAAAGAGGAATTGCTAGTTCAGAAATGTTTGACGTTCACATTTATAATAAATAGTTGGCCCACCTTGAATAATTTTGAATTATATGTGATCTCTCTTTAGGTAATGCCCTTCCTTCAATGCAGGATGGAGACTGAGAAAGCAAGATGTTGGCTACCAGAAATGGAGTTTCAAAAATTTTCTTAAAAGCTCTATTGGACAATAAAAACATATAATGCTATCTGCCAAATTAAAAAAACAGAAGCTCTGTGCCCGTATATCAGTAAGTAGATAAAATCAATGCTGAACTGTCCAAATCAGTAAAACATTTTCAAAAGTCATCAATATTTTGGATCAGAGCATTTAAATGTTTTATATGAGACTTGGAAGAAATAGCAAAGGACTTCATACATTCCAAGGGAATAACTATCCAGGTTAACTGCTGACTTTTCTTCCAAGTGAAAACAAGTATACTTATTAATAAAAACCTTAATAAAAGCTGAGCATACAATCTATTATAGTAAAGAATTTGTATAAATATGGAACAAGCACGCTATGTTTAGGTTTGGAGAAGAAATTGTTAATTTGTTAATTTGTTAATTGTTCTGTATATCTTTGACAAGTCTATATTCTTGAATATTAGATTATTTTACAAAAGCTTAACATGTTACAGGGGCTGGTACAAGGAATATATATATATATATATTTTTTCTAGTACTTTTCTAGATTTTCTTTTCTGGTTACTGTTTTCTGAAGACCTTCCTTGCCTTCAGTTTTTAAAAGATACTGAGAAATTTTAAGTAGCAGTTTAAAAATATTAAATTGGACTCTTAAGGGCTCTATTCCAATTATTCTGCCTAAGTCTTGGAAATTTTTGCTTGTAGGGATTCTGAGACCATAGCAAATGCTTTGGTTATTTCTTGAATTACATATAGTGTAAGTCTACTGACTTCCAAATTAGCTGCAATTTAATCATATGTTGAAAAAATTTCTGAGACTTCTAAAAATAGTTTTTCTTCAGTATATTTTATCTGGTAGTTCCATTTGCAAAGTAGTTCTTTACCTATTACATTTGTAAGGTTTTTACCAAAAAGAACTGTTCTCCTGTAATAGTCCCAAAGTAAAAGTCTCAGGTTGAGACATGGAAAAGTGCTTAGGACAGTTAGAATTCTCTCTGCTTGAATGAATTTAGCAATTATAGGGATATGATTTTATGTTAGCAGGATTGATGGCAGGTAGAGTTGATATCCATGTAAAATAAGAAAGCTGTATTACAGCCTCATCAAATGTATATGTCTACCTTTTCTTTATGAAATACTCTTATAATTGGGAACAGAAACAAAAAGGAGAAATATCTTAGAGGTAAAACAAAGATCACATGAAAATGAAGAAAACAGAATGAAAATACTCATTGCAAGAATATTCACCCAAATGACACATCTCCAAATCAATAGGTTTAATTATAATTTAATTATAATATACTTTTATAAATATTTATATGCATGTCTCAGAATATTGAATTTCTTGTTCTAGGAAATTGACCATTTATATGTTCAAAATAAGTGATATACTAGTCAAAGCAATCTGAGAAATGAAACTATGAAAACAATTTAACAATGGCATAAAAAGGAATAAATATTTAGGAATAAATTTAATAAAGAAGTGTAAGATTTATATGCTAAAACTATAAAATAGTGCTGAGAAAAATTATAGCAGATGTAAATACACAGAGAGACTGTCTATTTTCACGAAATATAGGAACTACTATAATGAAAATAGCAATCCTCTCCAAATTGTCTACAGATTTCATTAAATTCCTATCTAAATAATAGCTGTATATTCTGGAGTAATTGACAAGCTAATCTTAAAACGTATATAGAAATCCAAGGGACCCAGAGTATTAAAAAAATATTTAAAAAGGAGAAAAATGGTAGATGACTTATACTACATGGTTATAATACTCTAAATTCATAGTAATTAAGATAGTGCGATACTGGCAAAGAATTGAACACATAGATTAATGAAACTGAATTGATAGTCTACAAATAAACTCTAATTTATGGTTAGCCAATCTTTAACAAAGGTAGCAAGATAATTTAATGGGAAAGAATAATTTTTCAGCAAGTTGTGCTGAAACATATGGATACCCACATGCAAAAACAAACAAACAAACAAAAATATATATATATCTTACCCTTACACCATACATGAATATTAACTCAAGGTAGATCATAGTTCTAAATATAAGCACTAAAACTGCAAACTTTTAAAAAGAAAACATAGAAGAAAATCATCTTGAACTTGAATTAGACAAGGAGTTTAGATACAACACCAAAAGTATGAACGATAAATAAAAAATTATAAATTGGACTTTATTAAAATACAAACAAAATTGTACTTAAGTAGGAGAGGCAGAGCAAGATGACAGAATAGAAGATTCCACTGGTTGTCCCTCCCACTGCCCTGCAAGGACACTGATTTAACAACTAAAAATCACCTTCATAAGAACTAAAAATCAAATGAGCACTCACAGTACCTGGTTTTAATTTCCTATCCCTGAGAGAGGTACTGAAGAGGTAGGAAAAACAGTGTTGAATTACCAATGCAACCTCTTCCCTATCCCCCAGCAGCCATGGCATGGTGCGGAGAGCATTTTTGTGCAATGGGGGGAAGGAGATTGCAGCAATTGTGAGGCATTAAACTCAGTGCTGCCCTTTACAGCAGAAAACAAAATCTGACCCAAATCAGGTGATACCTGCCTATGGAGGGAGCATTTAAACCAGCGCTAGCAAGAGAGGAATCTTCAATTCCAGCGGTCCAAACTTGAGTTCCCGCAGTCCTCAGCATTGTAAGCTAAATTGTGCTGGGGCCCTAAATAAATTTGAAAGGCAGTTTCAGCCTCCGGGACTGCAAATCCTAGTTTAGTCCTAGTGCTGAACTTGGTTCATAGACAGTGGACTCAGGGGCACATGACATACTGAAACAGCAGCTGGGGTGTCTAAGGGAGTGCTGTCATCACTCCTCCCCTAACCCCCGGCTGTACACCTCATGGCTCCAAAAAAGACCTCTTCCCTCTGCTTGAGGACAGGAAAAGTAGGGTGGACTTTTTCTTGTATTTTGGGTACCAACTCAGCCAAAGTGGGATAGGGCAGCAATCAGAGTCATGAGGCCCCCTTTCCAAGCCCTGACTCCCAGATGACATTCCTAGACACAGCCTGGACAAGAATGGAACCCACTGCCTTGAAGAGTAAAACAAAGTCATGACAGGATTCATCACCTGCTAACTGAAGAGTCCTTGGGCCCAGAATAACCAGCAGCAATACCAGTACTACACTGAGGGCCTCGGGTGAGCCTCTGAGATTTGCTGCCTTCAAGTGAGACTAATCACATTCCCAGTTGTGGTGGCTAAGGGATGAGACTCCCTCCATTTAAGAAAAGTGGAGGGAAAAGTAAAGGGGACTTTGTCTTGCATGTTAGGTACCAGCTTGGCCACAGAAAGGTAGAGCACCAGACAGGCTCTTAGGTCCCTGATTCCAGAACTTGGCTCTTGCACAGCATTTTTGGACCTGTCCTGGGCCAGAGGAGAACCCACTGCCCCAAAGGGTGAGTCCCAAGACAGGCAACATTCACAACAAGCTGACTTAAGAGCCCTTGGGCCTTAAGGGAATATCAGTGGTAGTCTAGCAATACTCCCCATGGGCCTGTGGTGATGGTGGCCACAAGATGAGGCTCTTCTGCTTTTGAAAAGCAGGGGAATGGGTGCGAAGGAATGTGCCTTGTGGTTTGAAAGCCAGCGCTAAGAGTAGAATGCCAATCTCAGAGTTATTGGCCTTAAAAGGGGTGGTAGAGAACATGATAAGGATGGAAAGCTTATTCAACAAGAAAATAACAGAGAACTTCTAAAACTGAAAGAATGATATCAGAGTCCCAGTACAAGAAGGTTATAGAACACCAAGCAGATTTTACCCAAAGAAGGCTATCTCAAGGCATTTAGTAATCAAATGCCCAAAGGTCAAGGATAAAGAAGGGATTCTAAAAGCAGCAAGAGAAAAGAAACAAATAACACACAATGGAGCTCTAATACATATGGCAGCAGACCTTTCATTAGAAATCTTACAGGCCAGGAGAGAGTGGCATGACATACTCAGGTGATGAAGGAAAAAAATCTTTTACCCTAAAATAATATGTTCAGCAAAAATATCCTTTAAACATGAAGAAGAAACAAAGGCTTTGCCAGACAATCAAGAGCTGAGGAATTTCATCAACACCAGGCCTGTTCTACAAGAAATGCTAAAGGGAGTACTTCAATCAGAAAGAAAAGGACATTAATGAGTAATAAGAAAACATGTGAAGATGCAAAACTGCCTGGTAATAGTAACTACAGAGAAAAACACAGAATATTGTAACACTATACCTGAGGTGTATAAAATATTTCTATCTTAAGTAGAAAGGCTAAATGATGAATCAATGAAAAATAATAACTACAACAACTTTTCAAGATATAGATGATACAATCAGACATAAATAGAAATAATAAGTTAAAAAGTGGGGGAATGGAGTTAAGGCATACAGTCATCATTAATTTTCTTTTTGCTTGTTTGCTTGTTTATGCAAATGGTGTTTTATCAGCTTAAAATAATGGGTTATAAGATAGTATTTGCAAGAATCATGGTAACCTTAAACCCAAAAAGCATACAACATATACACAAAATATAAAAAGCAAGAAACTAAATCCTATCACCAGAGAAAATCACCTTCACTAAAAGGAAGCAAGGAAGCAAGGAAAAAGGAATAGAAGACCAGAAAACAGCAAAATGGCAGTAGTAAGTTCTTACTTATCAATAACATTGAATGTAAATGGCCTAAATTCTCCAGTCAAAAGATATAGAGTGGCTGAATGGATACAAATAGAAGATCCAATGATCTTTTGCCTACAAGAAATGTAGTTTGCCTATTAAGACACACATAGACTGAAAATAAAGGGATGGAAAAATATATTCCATGCCAATGAAAACTAAAAAAAAGAGGAATAGCTGTACTTAAACAGATTTCAAGGCAAAAAATATGAAATGACAAAGATGGTCACTATATAATGATAAAGGGAAAAGGGATCAATTCACCAGAGGATATAAAAATTATAAATATATATGCACCCAACACTGGAGCACCCAAATATATAAAACAAATATTATTAGAGCTAAAGATAAATATAGACCACAATACAATAATAGCTGTAGACTTCAACACCCCACTTTCAGCACTGGATATATCTTCTAGACAGAAAATTGACAAAGAGACATTGGAGTTAATCTGCACTATAAACCAAATGGACCTAATAGATATTTATGGAATATTTTATCCAACAGCTGCAGAATAAAAATCCTTTTCCTAGGCACATGGATCATTCTCCAGAATAGACCATATGTTAAGTTACAAAACAAGTCTTAAAACATTAAAAAAGAAAGAAATAATATCAAGCATCTTCTCTGACCACAAGTATATGCCAACAAACTGGAATATCTGTAAATAATGTAAAAATCCTCAGGTACATACAACTACAAAGATTGAACCATGAAGAAATCCAAAACCTGAACAGACCAATAACAAGTAACAAGATCTAAGTAAATCAAAAGTCTTCCAGTAAAGAAAATCCTGAGACCCAATGGCTTCACTGCAGAATTTTACCAAATATTTAAAGAAGAAATTATACCAATCATACTCAAAATATTCCAAAAAAAAAAAGAGGAGGGAATACTTCCAAATTCATTCTACAAGACTAGTATTAGTCTGATACCAAAATTAGATGAAGACACATTTAAAAAAAAGAAAGCTACAGGCCAGTATCTCTGATGAATATTGATTCAAAAATACACAAAATACTACTAAACAAAATTCAACAATACATTTAAAATATCATGCATCATGAACAAGTGGAATTTATCCCTGGGATGTAAGTGTGGTTCATCATATGCAAGTCAATCAATGTGCTACATCATATCAACAGAATGAGGAAAAAAACTAATAATCATTTCGATTGATGGTGAGAAAACATTTGATAAAATTCAACATCACTTTATAATAAAAGCCCTAGAAAACTGGGTGTAGAGGGAACATACCTCAACATAATAAAAGCCATATATAACAGAACCACAGCTAGTATCACATTGAATGAAAAGAAACTAAAAGCCTTTCCTCCAAGATCTGGAACACGACAAGAATTCCCACTGTCACCACTATTATTCAACATAGTACCAGAAGACCTCACTTGAGCAATCAGACGAGAGAAATAAAGGGCATTCAAATTAAAAAGGAAGAAATCTAATTGTCCTTGTTTATAGATGATATGGTCTTATATTTGGAAAAATCTAAAAACTTCACCAAAAAACTGTTAGAACTGATAAATTCAATAAAGTTGCAGGATACAAAATCAACATACAAAAGTCAGTAGCATTTCTATACACCTATGGTGAACAATCTGAACAAGAAATCAAAAAAGTAATCTCATTTACAACAGCCACCAATAAAATTAAATACCTAGGAATTAACCAAAGAAGTGAAAGATCTCTATAATGAAAACTATAAAATACTGATAAAATAAATTGAAGAGGACACCAATAAATGAAAATATATTCCATGTTCATGGGTTGGAAGAATCAATATTGTTAAAATTTTCATACTATCCAAAGCAATCTGGAGATTCATTGAAATCTCTAGCAAAATACTAATGACATTATTCACAGAAATAGAAAAGAAATCCTAAAACTTATGTGGAACCAAAAACGACCCAGAGTAGCCCACATATCCTAAGCAAAAAAACAAAACTGGGAGAATCCCATTACCAGACTTCAAATTATACTACAGAGCTATAGTAACTAAAACAGGATGGCACTGGCACACAGACACATAGACCAATGGAACAGAATAGAGAACCCAGAAACAAATTCACATGCCTATAGTGAACTCATTTTCAACAAAGGTGCCAAGAATATATACTGGGAAAAAGACAGTCTTTTTAATAAAATGATGCTGGGGAAACTGAATATTCATATAGAGAAGAATGAAACTAGACCACTATCTCTTACCATATATAAAAATAAAATCAAAATTTATTAAAGACTTACATCTAAGACCTCAACCTATGAAACTGCTAAAAGAAAACATCAAGGGAACTCTCCAAGACATTGTTCTGGGCCAAAATTTCTTGATCAATAACTCACAGGCACAGGCAACCAAAGCAAAAGTGGACAAATGGGATCACATCAAGTTAAAAAGCTACTACACAGCAAAGGGAACAATAAGAAAAGTGAAGAGACAACCCACCAAATGGGAGAAAATATTTGTATACTACCCATCTGACAAGGAATTAACAACTAGAATATATAAGGAGTTCAAACAACTCTATAGGGAAAACAATCTACTAACCTGATTTTAAAATGGGCAAAATATTTGAATAGAAATTTATTAGAAGAAGAAGTGCAAATGGCAAACAGGTATATGAAAAGGTGCTCATCACTGATCATCAGAAAAAGGCAGATCAAAACTAAAATGAGATATCATCTCACCCTGCGTTAAAATGACTTACATCCAAACATAGGCAATAACAAATGCTGGCAAGGATGTTGAGAAAATGGAACCCTTGTACACCGTTGGTAGAAATGTAAATTAGCACAATTACTATGGAGAAAAGTTTGGAGGTTGTTCAAAAAAGTAAAAATAGAGCTACCATACGATCCAGCAATCTCACTGCTGGGTATATACCCAAAGTAAAGAAATCGGTATATCAAAGATCTATCTGCACTCCCATGTTTGTTGTAGCACTGTTCACAATAGCCACAATTTGGAAGCAAACTAAGTGTCCATCAGCAGATGAATGGAGAAAGAAAATGTGATAAAGATGAATGGAGAAAGAAAATGTGGTAATTATACACAATGGAGTACTATTCAGCCATCAAAAACAATGAGATCCTGTCATTTGGAACAACGGAGGGAACTGGAGGTCAGTATGCTAAGTGAAGTAAGCCAGGCGCAGAAAGACAAACATCACATGTTATGACTTATTTGTAGTATCTATAATCAAAACAATTTTACTCATGGAGATACAGAGTACAAGGATGGTTACCAGAGTCTGGTAAGGGTAATGGGAGGGGTGAAGGGAGGTGGAGATGGTTAATAAATACAAAAAATAGTTAAAAAGAATGAATAAGACCTAGTATTTGATAGCAGAACATGTAAACTTTAGTCAATAATTGTAAATTTTAAAATAACTAAAAGGGTCTAATTGAATTGTTTATAACACAAAGGATAAATGCTTGAGGAGATGGATACCCCATTTTTATGATGTGGTTATTATGTATTGCAAGTCTGTATCAAAATATCTCATGTAACCCACAAATATATACACCTACTATGTACCCACAAAAATTAAAACGTTTTAAAATTATTTTTAAAAATGAAAATTACACTCTAAATGACACTTAGAAAAATATACAGTTCATAGACTGAGAGAAAATATCTGCAAATCGTATATCTAATACAAGGCTCTTAACCAAAATACATAAAGAATACTTACAACTGAGTAATAAGACCAACTACCTAACTTAAAATGAGTAAAATATTTGAATATTTCACAAAAATAAGACATATAAATGACCAATAAGCATATGAAAGAGTATTTGTGATCATTAGTCCTTACAGAAATACAATTTAAAACCACAATGAGACACACCCACTGGCTGTAATAAAAAGGCAGCTAATTCTACAAGCTGGTGAAGATGTGGAGAAACTACAACACATTTTTGCAGTTCTCACAAAGTTACATATGAGTAGAAATAAAAACCACCAATTTTACTGCTAAGAATCTAAGAAGGAATCTAACAAGAAGGAAAACCTATATTCAACAAAGATTTGTATGTAAATGTTCATAGCAGCATTATTTATTATAGCCAAAATTAAAAATAGTCCAAATATCCATCATGGAGAATGGATAAAGGAAATGTAACATATCGATGCCATGGAATACCATTCAGCAATAACAAGAAATGAAATACAAACAAGCTAAAATATAAATGAGCCTCAGAAATATTATGCTAAATTAAATGCATGCCCACAAATACACACAAAGCCATACACACATAAACCATATAATGTATAATTTCATTTATATAAAATATCAGGAAAGGCACAGTTATACATGAAAAAGGGAGATCATCAGTAGCCTGGGACTAAGGGCGGAGTGTGATTTGACTGCAATTGGGCTCATGGGAATTTGGATGGGGCATTACAGAAATGTTCTAAAACTGAATTATGTTAATGGTGTTAAAACTATAAATTCAGTTAAAATTATTGAACTATATTCATAAAATGGGTGGGTCAGTTTCATGCTATATAAATTTTATACCCATAAAGGTTTAAAATAACATCATAAGTATAGTTTTTTCTCTTTAATATAAATGATTTGCAGATAAGTTACTTCTTTCATACCTAAGAACAGAATATGCATCATCCCTCCTATATTACCAAAGAGTCTTTTCAGAATTTTATCATTTTGTATTTTCAAATAATAAATATGGTTTTCTAAATTATTTATATTGTGTCTGCTTGTATTTTATTTCATTTACTTAAAACTACCTATGATGAGATATTAATGTCATAAAATTCACCTTTATAGTATACAATTCAGTAGCTTTTACATATTGAGTTTTGCAGCCATCACTACAATCTAAATTTAGAACATTTTACTATTTATAAAAAACATGTAACCATTATTAATCACTTTCCATCCTCTCCCTGTCCCTCCCACATCTAAGCAAACACTAATTTACTCTATGTCTGTATAGATTTGGCTATTCTGTATTTTTCATGTAAGTAGAATTATTCATTGTCATATTTTGTGGCTGATTTGTTTCATTTAGCTTGATGTTTTAAGGTTTATCCAAGTCATAGCATGTATCAGGGTTTCATTCCTTATTGGGGGTAATAAAATTCCACTGGAGGGTGTACCACCTTGTGACTATCGTTAAGTGTATGCACATTTGGGTTGGCTGCACTTTTTGACTATTATAAATAATACAGTATGCACATTCATATTCAAGTTTTTGAGTGAACTATGTTTTCATTTCTCTTGGATCTATATCTTAGAGTGAAATTGCTGAGTCATATAGTAACTCTATGTTTAACCTTTTGAGAAACTGCCAAAACATTTACTAAAGTGGATATACTATATTTCATTCCCATCATCAAAGTTTTGAGGGTTCCAATTTCTCAAAATCTTTGCCAACATTAGGGATTGGTCTGTCTTTTTTATTGTAGTCATTTTTTGAATGTGAAGTGGTATCTTATTGTGGTTTTTATTCATATTTCCTTATTAATGATGTTGAGCATTTTCATATGGTTATTTGCCATTTTTAAATCTTCTTTGGAAAAATTACTATTCATATCTTTTGCCCATTTTTTAATTGACATCATGTGTTTTTTGTTGAGTTTAAAAGTTTCTTATATATTCTACATACAGATTTTCATCAGATATATAATTTGTTAATATTTTCCCATAGTTAGGTGTCTTTTCACTTTTTTAAAAAATTATTTATTATTTGTTTACTTTTTTAGAGACAGGGTCTTACTTATTTGCTGAGACTGAGGTACAGTGGTGCAGTCATAGCTCATTGCAGCCTCAGAAGCCTAGGCTCAAGCGATCCTCCCACCTTAGCCTCCTGAGTAGCTAGGATTACAGATAAATGTCATTATGACTGGTTAATTTTTAAATATTTTTGTAGAGGTTGCGTCTCACCATATTTCCCAGGCTGTTCTCAATTTCCTGGCCTTAAGAAAACCTGCCTCAGCCTCCCAAAATGCTTGGATTACAGGTGTAAGCCACTATGCCAAGCTGCTTTATTATGTCTTTGAAGCACAAGATTTTCTCATTTTGATATAGTTCAATTTATCTATTTTTCCTTATCACACTTGGGTGCATCTAATGTTGTATTTTTAAAAAATGCCTAAACCAGGATCTTGAAAATTACATTTCCGTTCTTCAAACAGTTGTATTATTTTATCTCTTACATTAACTCCTTGATCCTTTATAAGCTAATTTTTGTATATGGTGTAAGATAGATTCCAAACTCAAATTTTTGTGTGTGGGTATAGAGTTGTCTCAGTACCATTTGTTTAAAATATAATTGTCTCCCTCATTTAATTGCCTTGGCACTCTTGTTGAAAAATCAATTGATAATAAATGTGTGGCTTTACTTCTAGACTCTTCAATTCTATTGAATTGATCTGCATGTCTATCCCTATTCTATTTCAGTACTTTAAATTTATTTTCTTTTCTTTCTTAAAATTTACTCTGCTGCCTTTTTTTTCTAGGTCTGTGAGTACAATGTCAGCTAATTCATTTATAAATATTCATACAGTGTTAAAATGTGTTAAAAATGGAATTAAGGCCGTGAGTTTACTTCTAAATACCGCTCATGATGAATCTGAATAAACATTTAAAAAATGAAAATAAAGCAAACGTTTTACAATTTTGTTTTTGTTTTAAACCACGGACTGTTTAGAAGCTTCTTCTGTTGTATTTACACATTTAAAAATTTTACTTGGCTGGGCGTGGTGGCTCACGCCTGTAATCCCAGCACTTTTGAAGGCCGAGGTGGGCAGATCACAAGGTCAGAAGATTGAGACCATCCTGGCCAATATGGTGAAATCCCGTCTCTACTAAAAATATAAAAATTAGCTGGGCATTGTGGCGTGTGCCTGTAATCTCAGCTACTCGGGAGGCTGATGGCAGGAGAATTGCTTGAACCAGGGAGTCAGAGGTTGCAGTGAGCTGAGATTGAGCCACTGCACTCCAGCCTGGCGATAGAGCGAGACTCTGTCTCAAACAAACAAAAAAATTCACTTATTTGGTTGACTGATTATTTTGCTTTTATTTTGTTGTTCATCATTGCTTTTTATTTCATTCTGGTCTGAGATATAGTGTGTAAGATCTTTAGACATTGGAATTTGTTGCAAGTATCTCTTGTTATGAAAAGACTGGTTTCTGAGGGTAGTGAGACTACCCTATCAGTGGTTTTCTGACTGCTGCTGTGAGGGCTCTCCAAGGAAAACAGGCTGTAAAATTTTTAGTGAATAATGATCCTGCCATGTCTCAGAAAAAATATTTCCAATCCCAGAACCAAGCAAGCAATGATTTCCTAAGAATTACTAAGTCTAAGCCTCACCTCCAGCTTCCCTACAAGACATGTAAATGGATCCAGAGTTTCATCTTCATACTATACTAAACCTAGATCTGTTGCAGACAGTTCTTTGGCATTTAATCTCCAGCCCTCAATGCTGATCTCAGAATCCCTGAGACAAAGAAGCCTCATCTCCTACTCACCACAGGGTGCTTCCTTTCCATTTTGTCTTTTCTCTTATTAAATGCAAATATGTACTTTAATGTGTGTTTGTACATTTTGTATAGCATTACTAAGCATTTAGAGAAGAAGGGATGATTTAGGTCTGTGCTCAAATTGCCCTTTTAATACAGCTGTCTAGTGGATTGTATCTAAAATGCATTATGCAGATTGATACACTAGGATTTTGTAACTTTTGTATGAAAATGGGTGCATAGTTTTGTTTTTAATCACAGTTTAATAAAAATGATCTTTTTTCCACTTAGAGAAAGGACATAAACCAAAACCTATTTAATCAATCTTCAGTGTGACAATTAAAGTTGATATAAATATTCACTGTAGATACAGTCTGAATATGCTTAGTGGTGTTTGAGGTATTTACCAAATCACAATCCAAAATGTACTCAATTTTATATACCATTACATGAAATAATTATTCCTGATTATAGAAGACTTTATAACAATATTTTCTTTTTTTTAATCATCAGAACTGTACATATTACTATATCTATTGGGGTTAACAAAAATTATCTTTGAAATCTGATCCTTTTTGTTAGTTTCAATGAAGAGAAAAACAAATACAGATACATGTGTGTGCTGACAGTAGGAATCATAGGGATATAACATTTAAATAATGATAAAAATGTAGGTTTTCTCTTTAGGTAAAGAGATAGATAAAACCTTTATCTATTATGTAAACCAGGCAATATTTACTCCTATTTAGCTAAAGAGGAACTAGGTACAAATTGGTTCATAATTTGTGCGAGGTTACACACCCCATTTGACTCAAATTTGGTCTTACTCTATTCTTTCCACTATGCCTACACCATTGCCAATAAGAAATGACTAATTTCTGGTCTTCAGAGTGTAATTTATCACCGTGACTGATGTGAGTGTGACATCACTCAATGGCTGTGTGTGTGTGTTTTCTTTTTTTTTTTTTTAACTCTTTAATTCAATGAATTTCTATGGCAACTCAATATATTTGCTTTTTCTGTCAGCTCTGGAACTCCCGTGATATCCTGCTTATCACTCTTATGGTGAGTTTGGTATATTGAATTAACATTTTGCAAATATTCACTATATCCCTTTTGACCTACATGTGGAAAATATATTTTTCTGCTCCTCTGATATTGCTCATAGATATGTAACTACTTTTACCCAATGTAATGTTACTGGATATGACGTAAACCAGAGTCTTGAGATAGATTTGTACAAAT
Organism: Homo sapiens; assembly: GCF_000001405.40. NCBI lineage: Eukaryota > Metazoa > Chordata > Mammalia > Primates > Hominidae > Homo > Homo sapiens. The sequence continues at coordinate 22,080,170 of NC_000002.12, forward strand.
GTGCTTCTTTTTTTGGGCTTCTGCTATTGCCATGACAAAAACATGGCATGAGTAGAACATTTAATGAACTGAAATAGGTTATGGTTATATATATGAGAGAAACAAACCTCAAAAAATTCTAAGTACAGCTTTAATAAATGCAGTTGGTTAGTATCAAATGCACAGAAAACTTTAAAAGTTTTTGAAAAAGGTGTATTTTCAAATGCACCACCAACTTGATCCTAAGAGTCCATGACCATTCCAATCATGAAAATATCTCTGGTCCCTCAACTTTCAACAGACAGGAAGCAGGCTGAGAACTCTACTCAGCTACCAAGAATGGAATCTTCTTCTTTGCCTCTTCAGCAGTGGTCCAGTAGAATGAGGACAAAGAAAGAATGTTCCTGAGCAGCAGAATCAGGAGTCATAAAAAAATAAAAAGTAAAGTGGCAAATCCCTTCCAAGAAAACAGAAATGGGGCCTAACCAAATAGGCTTTTCTACCCTCAAGGTAAGGAACCTAATAAATTTGCCCAGTGAGATTTCAGAATTTCTAGAGATTACTGTCCGCTGTAAGCCTCCCATTATTCCTTTTTGTAACAGGAATGTTTATAGAGGCTATATTCTCCATGTTTCATCGTTGTAGGCTGTATTCGTGTTGCCAAAATATACTTTTCTTTATAGTTTATGTATTTCTAGACATCTTTTTTAAGATAAAAGGGTATTCAAAGACTTAGGGAGAAAAAAGAGTGCTGTCACTTTCATGAATGAATTTGCACAGTTGGTCAACAAATGGTCCTTCATCTCCAGACAACTCTCGTGGTCATGAATGTATCCTTGGCCTTTCTGAACTAAGTAATCATCTGTGGCAAAGTCGGAAAATTCTAAAAGATCTTAGTATTATCACTACTTTTGTATATTCTCTCTTCTTATAATTCCTTTTGGGTTGGTTTTAGTAGTCACCTTTTCCAATATCAGTAGGTAAATTTCTTATAGACAATATATTTGTATTATTAGGTTTTAGATGCTGTCATTATAGAAATGCATAACACTTATATCATTAGTTTTCACCTTCAAATGCAAATATATAATTTGTTCTTGCTGAATTCATAGGAATGTGGCTCTAACTTGCTTTGATCTTATTACAATTTCTGTATATTTGGAGAATATGAGTGTTTATTACATATTTTAAAATATTCACTTACCATTTTGTAGTATAACCACTATATTATTTAGACTAGTTTTAAAAAGATGTGACCAATATGTAAAGCAATGTGTTAGGAAGAAGTATTTTGACCTGTGAATACCCTCCACTACAATAACACTCAAACTGCAGCATGAAGATTTTACAAATAAGCAAACTGATTGAAACTAGAACATAATTAGATCAACATCAGGTGACTAAGAGTCAGATTTGACATCAGAACTCAAATCTTTCAATACCATATGTTTTAGAAACATAGATATATAAGACAATAGACACAGGAAAAATTTCACAGTGAATGATAAAGCACTCTTTTTATTACCTTATAAACTAGGAAACATCTTCCAGACCAGTGATGGCTTGTACTTATTTGAATTTTTATATTACAAGAAAATATCCATTTGATTTTCTTTGCATAGCCTAAATTTACCCACTGAAATATAGCAACAAATGTTTCATTAGGTACTGAATGCCATAACCTCCAAGCTCCTACCATAGAAGTCAGTGAGCTATTGGCAGGGCGCAGTGGCTCATGCCTGTAATCCCAGCACTTTGGGAGGCTGAGGCTGGCAGATCACTTGAGGTCTGGAATTCGAGACCAGCCTGGCCAACATGGTGAAAACCCGTCTCTATGAAAAATATAAAAATTAGCTGGATGTGGGGGTGCATACCTGCAATTCCAGCTACTAGGGAGGATAAAGTAGGAGAATTGCTTGAATCCAGGAGATGGAGGCTGCAGGAGCCAAGATAGTGCCACTGCACTCCAGCCTGGGTGACAGAGCTAGACTCTGTCTAAAACAAAAAAAAAAAGGCAGTGAAATATAGTTGGATAGACAGAGAGATAGATATGAAAACTGAGTGAATTTTTCACAAGTCTAATTTTCAAACTTTTTAGACTTAGCTTTATAAAATTAGAACTAAGATATTAAAAAGCAAGTCACAAGTCACCAATAAGCTATGTCAATTTTGTTTGGCCTTCTGTGCCACAATGACTTTATCATCACTTCATTAGCTTATGCATGCTTTGTCAACAGTATTTCTCACAACAGTAGTGATTATAAACAAAACAGAATTACTACTCAGAAACTAGAGAGGTGGTAGGGAGATGGAGGATTTGAAAAACGCACCATGGAATGATTAAGAAGACCACATATTGTTTTCCACATACATGCCCAAAGAGAATGTGACAAAGAAGGTCAGAAATCATTAATACAGTAGTTAAAAGCAGCTGTGTCACTACCTACTCCAAATACCACTTATTCAGGAGGTCATTTGTAGAGATTGTATATATACAGATATACATATTTGTATACACATATCTATATATGCATACGTATATGCATATACACACACATATATATAAGAATAAGTGAAGAAAAGACCAAAGTTAAAGAAGACACACTACAAAACAACTGAAATAAAAGACAAAATAATTTTTAGGAGAAAATAAAAACCACCCAATATTTTGGATAGGAAGAAAGCTGCCATGTCACAAAACTGTAAGTTGCTCAAAAATTACCATGAAATAATTTCCTAAATAGGTTGAATTTTAACTTCATATAGAAAAATAAATCTAGAGATCAACAAAGGCAAACTAAAAAGAAAAAAAAATCAGCAAATTAGTAATTTCCTCACCCTAATAGAGAAAATCCACAATCAATATACTGCTTTTACATTGATATAGGAGTAGGACAGACTTCTCAACTTCAGCATTATTAACATTTTGGGCTAGATAACTATTGGGGAGAGTCTGCCCTGAGCATTGTAAGATATTTAGCTGTAACTCCCCGCTGCTAACTAGACAACACAGGAACCCGCCTGTTTGAAATTATATATATACACACACACACACACACATATATATATATATATATATATATATATATAAAATACATATATACACACACATATATATATATGTAAGTACATATATATATACATACACGTGTATGTGTGTATATATATATATTCCAACATTCCCAAATATTTACTGGGGGGAATAATCACTCCCTGTTGAAAGCTACTTATCTGGACCATTTATTTAACATGCAAACAGGTAAAAGTTCACTCATCAAAATTTACCAAAGATTTCTCAACACACTTAAAATCCAGTGTGGTCACCATATCCATCGTAACCCTAACACTTCTCCATAATCACTGTTTGTCACCTGTCATAGTCTTTGCTCTTCCTGGGAAAGGCCACCACATCCCCACTTGAAATCTTTATACTTCACGTTTTTCTTTTTTTTTTTTTTTTCTGGAATGTTGTTTCTTAAGAAATTACTAAGATTTGCACTTTCACTTTAAATCTCAGCTCTTCACAGTATTATTTTCTCTCAGCAGAGTACTGACTTATAAGTACAGGGACTCCATCTTGTTAGTGGCTGTAAGATTATAATCTGTAACAGTGATTTGCTTTCCACATGGGATGCATTCAATGAATACATTTTTAAAAGAATAAATAAATATATTCCTACAAATTAAAAAGGTGCATTTTTAAAAAGGGCAAGTAATATGTACAATAAACATGAACAAGTTTTAACCTTAAAATAACTTTTTTTTTTTTTTTTTTTTTTTTTTGGAGAAGGATTCTGGCTCTGTTCCCCAGGCTGGAGTGCATTGGCTCAATCTCAGATCACTGCAAGCTCCGCCTCCCGGGTTCACGCCATTCTCCTGTCTCAGCCTCCCCAGTAGCTGGGACTACAGGCGCCCGCCACCACGCTCGGCTAATTTTTTGTATTTTTAGTAGAGATGGGGTTTCACCGTGTTAGCCAGGATGGTCTCGAGCTCCTGACCTCGTGATCCGCCCGCCTTGGCCTCCCAAAGTGCTGAGATTACAGGCGTGAGTCACTCGGCCCGGCCGATAATATATTTTTAAAGAAACAGGTGTCATATGAAATAAGCTTAGCGAAAAAATTCAAAATAACTTGTATGGGCAAGGATGAGTTTAAAGAAAAGCTCCTCCCTATATGCAGCTTAGGGGTGTTCTATGTTATAAATGCGTTTGAAAGGTAATGATGGAAAAACTATTATTGAAAATGCAAATAATCTATGACTTAACAATTTAACCAATATTTAACTAATTTAATCAGTAAATTTTTTAGAGAAAATCTTGTATATTTGCACATAGAGATGTACTTAATGAGTAGTATTGCTTAATATTTAGTAACAAAGAAAAAAATAGGAAAATCTAACAATTTATTTTTTTTAACAGGGTCCTAATCTGTTGCCCAGGCTGGAGTGCAACGGCACAATCATGGCTCACCACAGCCTCAAACTCCTGTGCTCAAGCAATCTTCTTGCCTCCAACTCCCAAGTAGCTAGGACTACAAGCATAAGCTACCACGCCTGTAACAAAATTTGATCAACAAAGGAATGCATAAAAATGTATATTTATATGTTATACATTATAGAAATAAAATTAATAAATTTTACATAGATACTATTAACCTTAAAATAGTATAAAAGTCTTAAAATAAATTAAAAATAATTCATTTATCATTCTATATGTCTTATTTAGTATTTCATAAGCTAAAATACTAAACAATACTATATAAAACACACATATGTAGTAGAACATAATACAGAATGAAGAATATTCATCAAATTCATAATGGTTTCATCTGAGAAAAATGAGGAGTTATACCTGTGGATGGGAGCATACAAGATTTAGTTCCAATTTTGATTTTTCTCTGTCGCTTTCTGAAGAAGAAAAAAATTCTGAAGCAAATTATCACAGTATTTATATCTGTTTACTCTAAATCAGGTTACATGTAGGTTGCAACATTTTATAACTTTTTTGCTTATATTTTGAAAGGAAATAAAACGTTAAAGTTTTAGTTCAATATTTATGAAATGATTATTTGCCAAGCAATGTATTAAATGCTGAATCATGGAAGGTGGCACCATCACTTTGCATAGAGAAGAAATTTGAACTAGATTTGAATGAGAATTTATCATTTAAAAACTAAGGTAATGAGAACCAAAACATCATTACTAAGAATGAAAAAAGTATGAGCATGTGCATAATTTTGGAGGTACTATAGGATGAATGTTAGCTTACTATAGACAAAAAGTAATGTTATACTAAAATTTGTTCCAAGAGCTGTGATAAATTTGCAGATGGCTTCAAATGGAGAGTCCTCAGAATCCATGCTTGGTTCACCATCATCCTGAATACATTTTTAAAATATTTTAACATATAGTAAATAACTCTTCCAAGTTCAGAATGTTAAATTATATTTCTGGATTCACTGTACTATATTAGACTGTGGATATTAATTTAATAATTGATGTCATGCTTTTCTGATTCCACTGCTTATCTCACATTTGAACTAAGTCTCTAAGGCGAAGACAGAGCCAAATTGACATATTTCTTACAAAAACAGAAAGAAAAAAAATTAGATGAGGCTGGGTGCGGTGGCTCACGCCTTTAATCCCAGCACTCTGGGAGGCCGAGGCAGGTGGATCACCTGAGGTCAGGAGTTCGAGACCAGCCTGGACAACATGGCAAAACCCCATCTCCACTAAAAAAAAATAAAATAAAATAAAATATATATATATATACACACACACACACACACATACGTACACACACACAGACACACACACACACACACACACACACACACAAATTAGCTGGGTGTGGTGGTGCATGCCTGCAGTCCCAACTACTCAGGAGGCTGAGGTGGGAAGATTGCCTGAACCTGTGAGGTGGAGGTTACAGTGAGCTGAGATTGCACCACTGCTCTCCAGCCTGGGTGACGAAGTGAGACTCAATGTAAAAACAAAACAAAACAAACAAACAACCAAAGCAAAACTAGATGTATCCAGTGTTCTTGTATTTCAGAGAATTTTAGAGAGATGTCAAAAATAACAAATTTATTAAGGAAAGACAATAATGTTAGAAAGAAAAGCATTTTAAAATGTTTGCAAACACAACATTTAAAGCAACTGATTTATTAATTGAATTTGATGGAGAAAGTGTCTTCAAACTATTATCTAAATCCATTTGAAAATGATTTGTGATATCAACTTGCAAAAGATGATTTATTCTTCAAAATATTTATACTGTAGTGCAATTATAAAATGTAGTACAAATAACACATCAAATAAACATTCATTCTGAATTTTGTTGAGTGTGAGATCCAATTGTTGTTTTGTCTTGCCTGTGGCATCCTTATTCTTATCTCTTTGCTTAATTAATACTTCTGTTTCCTCCAGAAAGTGTGTATGAACTAAGGCAACTAACTTTAGCTGTGGCCTCTAAAATAAATATTATGGCACTTACAACTATTTAGGTGATTAGTTGGATCTTCTAGAATGTAAGTTTGGGGATTCATTTTACTTATTATCCCTCATTAGTATGGTAAATTGTCAGCATATATTACTTGAATAAATAAACGAACCTTGAAATCTCACTAATGAAACAGGAAGTACATTATTTTTAGCATGTGCAGTAGATATACTTACATAGATGAGGCATACAGTGTGTGAAAACTGGCTAAACATTGTAATACTGATGCCTAGAGCTTCATTGACCAGAATGCTAACTACCAAGGAAGAGAAGTTGGCAGTCTTGGGAAACTATTGCTGCCAGGAAAGAGTGAGGTAACTTAACAGAAGGCGTCAGTTGGAAGCAGGATATGCAAGAAAAAACAAAGAAAATAGACAATTAAGAAAATAAAAAGATAAAAAATAATAAGGCACATCAACATCTCCCATCACAAAGAAAGTTGCCATCCAGTGGATGAACTCTGTTTCACTTTACTAACAGACAAGAACACCTTCTATGTGAGAAACATACTAACACAATGAAGTTCCTCACCCTAGTTGGCATAGAGACATTTTCTACTGCCAGTCCTAGAAAATATGAGACATTTTAAAATGAGCAAAAATAGAAAGTAGCATTCTTACTATGCTGCTATAAAAATAAAACACAAGATGAGAAGTAAAACATTTCAGCTGAAGAAAATATTACCCCAAGACACAACAAAGCAGAACAAAACAAACAATGGCAAAAACTTGTAACAGTAATTACGAAAAACTAAGTAACTTAAAACGAGCAACTGCAGAAAACAAGAGCATTCTGAAGCAGATATTTTTAAAATAAATGAATTAATAAATCAAAGAGGGAAGAAATAAGAAAAAAAGATATGAAATGACAATTGTGTACACTGAGACAGAAAAGGCAAAAATAAACTCAGTAATCAATCAGAAATTACAAAATAAACCAGTTAGTGTAGATTTCATAAAAATAAAAATCTACTAACGGACATTGAGAAGTATTATGAAAAGAGTCAAGAAACACAAATAAAATCATAAACTAGATAAAATGCATCAGATGGTAAATGATAAATATAGAAAAAAGGGAAAAGTAACATGAAATTTCTTTTAGAAGAAAAACAAAACAATGAAAATTAATATTTTAAATTATATTTCAGGAAAACTACCCATTAATAAAAAGAAAACCTGAATCTCCATAATAAATGGACCTATTACTAAAAAAAGTTAACAAGGAACACTCAACCCCAAAATATAGTCTAGTAAAATAAGTGGACTCTAAAAATAAAAGAGTAAACGTTATTGGAGGCTTCAAGCATAAAAGACTAAGACATTTACAAAAAGAAGAAAATGAAGTTAACATCAAATTTCTAGACAGCAGCATATGAGCAAGAAGAAATAGAGTAAAATAGAAAACAAAGTGCAAGAATTTTCAAACTAGCCAAGCTACTAATAAGATATCAAGACAATAGACATGTACAACCAACGCGATACCTGAACTCATAAGCCTTTTCTGAGAAATCTATTAAAGAATAAAATTTATCCAACAAGAGATAACACAAAAGCTTTGGCAAATTAAATGATAGTAAGCAAACAAATACATTTAATTGCAAATATAAAATTTAAAAAAATAACAAGAGTGAAAGAAGAGTAAAAAAATGAAAAAATTTTATATAGTAGAAACAAGATTCCACTATAGTAGAAATAAGATGAGAGGAGATGAAGAGAAATAAATGAGATGAGTAGAAATAAATAAGATAAATAAATAAAAGAGGAGTAGAAACAAACGAGAGGAGAATTGAGCAAGAAAGAAGAAAATAGAATAAGTTCATTGTTATTGCATAAACAGATTAAAACCAAATGATAAAAATTAATCGGATAAGCTAAACACGAAAAACATAGATACAAAAAGAAAAAAAAAGGGGCACTAAGGGCATTTTGAACAGTATTTTTAAAATAAAATTAACCATAGATATGTAAATCAGTGCACACACACACACACACACATACACAGTTCAAAACATTAAAAAGTTTTTTGCTTTTTGTTTTTCTTTTTAAGGGAGAGAGCAAAAAAGAAAGACATCAACCACTCAAGAAAGAGATTGAGCACAAGAGTGAAAGTAACAGTGAGAGCAAGGATGAAAGTAAAGAAAAAGGCAGAGATGGAGACTGAAAGACAGAAGAAAGGACAGAGAAAGACCACAGAAACACAGTAAATAAAATACACACAGGATCAGACAAAGAAAATACAGAATCAGGGGAAGAACTCACTACTAAAGGAACAAAATCCAGCTCAAGTAATTGAGCCTAAAGAAATAATTAATTGTTTGATGAAGAATTCAAAATAATTACCTTAAACTCAGCTACAAGAGCACACAGATTAACAAATAAATAGAATCAGTAAAATGATACATGAACAAAATGAAAATATCAACAAAGAGATAGAAATAATAAAAGAATCAGAAATTTTTGAGTCAAATACCACAATTACTAAACTGACTACATCAAAAAAGAACTTCAAAAGACTCAATCAAGCAGAAGAAAGAATCAGCAAACTTGCAGATGGGTCATTTAAAATTATCCAATCACAGAAAAAGAAAAAAAAATAGTGTGAAGAAATTCTATGGAACTTATGGGACACAAACAAGTGAACCCATGTATGTATGATAGGAATTCCAGAAGGAGAAAAGAGACAGAAAGAATTAGAAAACTTATTTTTTTTTAAATCATGGTAAAAATCTTCTCAAATCTGGAGAAAGAAATTGACCTCTACATTCACTGTTTTGGTTAATATTGAGTGTCATCTTCACTGGATTGAAGGATGCAAAGTATTTTTTCTGGGTATGTCTGTGAGGGTGTTGCCAAAGGAGATTAATATTTGAGTCAGTGGACTGGGAGAAGCAGACCCATTTCTCCTGAGTGGGCACGATCTAATCAGTTGCCAGAACGGCTAGAATAAAGCACACAGGAGAAGATGGAAGAGAAGACTCGCTGAGTCTTCTGGCCTTCATCTTTCTCCAGTGCTGGATGGCTCCTGCCCTCAAACATCAAACTCCCAAGTTCTTCAGCTTTTGGACTCTTGGACTTACACCGGTGGTTGCCAGGGGATCTCAGGCCCTGGCCACAGATTGAAGGCTGCACTCTCGGCTTCCCTACTTTTGAGGTTTTGGGATTCCTACTGATCCACCTCTGGCTTCCTTGCTCCTCAACTTGCAGACGGCCTATCGTGGGACCTTTCCTTGTGATTGCATGAGTCATATACATATTTGTACCACTATAACCATATAATCTGGCAATCCCATATCTGGCCATATGTCCAAAAATTTGTAATCAGGATCCTGAAGAGGTATATATAAATTTAAAATAGCCAAGATATGGAAATAACCTAAGTGTCCATCAACAGATGAATGATTAAAGAAATGGTGGTATATACATACAGTGGAATTTTTTTTTAACTTTTGTTTTAGAATCAGAGGGTGCATGTCCAGGTTTATTACAAAGGTATACTGTATGATGCTGAGGTTTGAAGTATGAATAAATCTGGTAACCAGGTAGTGAGCATAGTACCCAATAGGCAGTTTTTCAGCCCTTGCCCCACTCCATGTCTCACCCATCTAGTAGTCCCTAATGTCCACTGTCTCCATCTTTATGTTCCTGTGTACCCAGTGTTTGACTTCTACTTATAAGTGAAAATATGCAGTATTTGGTTTTCTATTTTTGCATTAGTTCACTTAGGATAGCAGCTTCCAGCTGCATCCATGATGCTGCACATGATTTCATTTTTTACAGCTGCACAGTATTCCATGGTATATATAAATCATATTTCTTTACCCAGTCCACTGTTTTGGGCACATGGGTAGATTTTAAGTCTTTACTATTGTGAACAGTGCTGCAATGAACATATGGGTGCATGTGTCTTTTTGATAGAAAAATTTATTTTTCTGTGGGTATATACCCAGTAATGAGATTGCTGACTCAAATGGTAGTTAAATTCTTTGAGAAATTTTCAAGCTCCTCTGTGCAGTGGTTGGACTAATTTACATTCCAGAAAACAATGTATAAGTGTTTCCTTTTCTCTCCAGCCTCACCAACACCTGTTATTTTTTGACCTTTTAGCAATAGCCATTCTGACTGATGTGAGATGGCGTCTCATTGTGGTTTTGATTTATATTTCTCTGATGATTAGTGGGGATGAGCATTTTTTTCATATATTTGTTGGCTGCTTGTATGCATTCTTTTGACAAATATCTGTTCATGTCCTTTGCCCACTTTTTAATACTGTTATTTTTTGCTTGTTTATGTGTTTAAGCTACTTAAAGATTCTGGATATTAGACCTTTGTTGGATGTCTAATTTCTGAATACTTTCTCGCATTCTTTAGGTTGTCTAATTACTCCCTTGATAGTTTATCTTGCTGTGCTGAAGCTCTTTAATGAGGTGTCACTTGTCTATTTTAGTTTCTGTTACAATTGCTTTTGATAACAGCCATAAATTCTTTATTGAGGCTGATATTAAGAAGGGTATTTCCTAGGTTTTCTTCTAGGATTTTTATAGTGTAAGGTCTTACATTTAAGTCTTTAATTCATCTTAATTTTTGTATGTGGTGACAGGTAGGGATCCAGTTTTATTCTTCAGCATATGGCTAGTCAGTTATCCCAGAATCATTTATTAAATAGGTAGTCTTTTCTCCATTGCTTTTTTTTGTAGACTTTGTTGAAGATCACCTGGTTGTAGGTGCGCTAGTTTATTTCTGGACTCTCTATTCTGTTCCATTGGTCTGTGTATCTATTTATGTACCAGTTCCATGCTGTTTTGTTTACTGTAACCTTGTACTATAGTTTGAAGTTGGGCAATGTGTTGCCTTTGGCTTTGTTCTTTTTGCTTAGAATTTCTTGGGCTATTTGGGATCCTTTTTTTTTCCATATGAATTTGAGAATAGATTTTTCTAATTCTGTAAAAAATGATATTGGTAGTTTGATATGAATAGCACTGAATCTGTAAATTGCTTTAAGCAGTACAACCATTTTAATTACATTGATTCTTCCAATCCAAGAGCATGGAGTAATTTTCCTTTTATTTGTGTCATTTTCTATTTGTATCAGCAGTGTCTTGTTGTTCTCTTTGTAGAGATCTTTCACCTCCTTGGTTAGATTTATTCCTATTTTATTCTTTTTATGATCATTATAAATGGGATTGTATTTTTGATTTGGCTCTCAACTTGAACGCTATTAGTTTGTAGAAATGCTACTGATTTTTGTACATTGATTTTATATCCAGAATTTTTACTAGTTTATTCATCCCAAGAGCATTTGGCAGTCTTTAGGATTTTCTAGGTATAAAATATCATCGGCAAATATAGTTTGACCCCTTCTTTCCCTATGTGAATGCCTTTTATTTCTTTCGCTTGACTGATTGCTTTGGCTATGACTTCCAGGACTGGCCATGTTGAACAGGAGTGGTGCAAGTGGGAATCCTTGTCTTGTTCCAGTTCTCAAGGTGAATGTTTCTAGCTTTTATCCATTTAGTATGACGTTGACTGTGGGTTTGACATAGATAGCTCTTGTTATTTTCAGGTATGTTTCTATGATGCCTAGTCTGTTGAGGGTTTTTATCATGAAGGGATGTTGGATTTTTATCAAAGGTTTTTTATACATCTATTGAGATGATCATATGATTTTGAATCTTTTAATTCTGTTAATGTGGTGAGTCACATTAATTGATTTGCATATGTTGAACCAACCTTGTATCTCAGGAATAAAGCCTACTTGATTTTAGCAAATAAACTTTTTGATGTGCTACTGGATTCAGCTTGCTAGTATTTTGTTGAAGATTATTGTGTCAATGTTCTTCAGGGATATTGGCTGAAGTTCCTTTTTTTGTTGTGTCTCTGTCAGATTTTGGTATTAAGATAATGCTGGATTCATAGAATTAGTTACGGAGGAGACCCCCTGAAGTTGCTGGGATAGTTTCAGTAGAATTGATACCAGTTCTTCTTTACACGTCTGGTACAATTAGGCTGAGACTCCATCTGGTCTAGGGCTTTTTTTGGTTGGTAATTTTTTATTACTGATGTAAATTCAGAACCCATTATTGTTCTGTTCAAATTTTCAGTTTCTTCCTGGTTTAATTTTGGAAGTTTGTGTGTTTCCAGGAATGTATTCATTTTCTCTAGATTATCTAATTTCTATGCATAGAGGTATTCATAATAGTGCCCAAGGATCTTTTGTATTTCTGAAGGATGAGTTATAACATCATCTTTGTCATATCTGCTTGTGCTTATTTGGCCCTTCTCTTTTACTTTCCCTTTTTAAACTGGCTAGTGGTCTATCAATCTTGTTTATTTTTTCAAATAACTTCAGTTTTGTTGATGTTTTGCACAGATTTTTGGAACTCAGTTTCTTCTTTTCTGATTTTGGTTATTTCTTTTCTTCTGTTAGCTATGGTGTTGGTTTTCTCCTGTTTTATTTTTCTAGTTGCTCTAGGTGTGATGCTAGATTCCTAACTTGAGATCTTTCTAACTTCTTCATAAAGGCATTTAGCACTATAAATATTCCTCTTAACACTATGTTAGCTGTATCTCAAAGATTCTGGTATGTTGTATCACTGTTTTCATTAATTCCAAATAATTTTTAGATTTCTGTCTTAATTTCATTATTTGCCCAAAGTCATTCAGGAGCAAGTTGTTTAGTTTCTTTGTCATTGTGTGGTTTTGAGACATCATCTTGGTATTTTTTTTTATTTTTATTATACTATGGCTTGAGAGTGTGCTTTGTAAGGTTTTGATTTTTTAAAAAAAATTTATTGAGAGTTGCTTTATGACTGAGCATGGTCAATCACAGAGTATGTTCTGTGAGAGGAGAAGACGAGTGTATATTCTGTTTTGGGAGTGGAATATGCTTAGATGTCTATTAGGTCTAATTGGTCAAGAGTCAAGTTCAAATCTAGAACTTGTTAGGATTCTGCCTTGATGATCTTTCAATGCAGTCTGTCAGGTGCTAAAACTTCCTACTATTTTTGTGCAGCTGTTGAAGTCTTTTTGTAGGTAAAGAAGAATTCGTTTTATGAATCTGGGTGCTCCAGTGCTGGGTATGTATATATTTAGTATAGTTAAATCTTCTTATTGAATGGAAACTTTTATCATTATGCAATGCCCTTCTTTTTCCTTTTTTACTGTTGTTGGCTTAAAGTCTGTTTTATGTGATATACGAATAGCAACCCTTGGTATTTTTTTTTCCCATTTGAATGACAGATCTTTCTCCATCCCTTCACTCTGAACTGGTAAGTGTAAGATGGGTCACTACATGTGAGATGGGTCTCTTCAGAACAGCAGACAATTGGGTCTTGTCTTTCATTCAGCTTGCCACTTTATGCCTTCTACATGGGGCATTTAGATCATTTATATCTACTGGATCTTAGCCGGAATTATAAGACCAAACATATTATTCCGGTATATATCACTTGTGAAAAGCCCAAACCAAGAATCTAGCCACAGATAAAGATCCCAAACAAAGCTTCGGCCCTTTGAAATCACCCCAAAACAAATAAGCTTTGTTTGGGATCTTTATCTGTGGCTAGATACTTGGATTGGGTTTTTCACAAGTGATGTATACCGGAATAATTTTTTTGGTCTTGTAATTCAGGCTAAGATCCAGTAGACGATGTTTGAGAGTAATGGTCAGCAAATAGGGTCTAACTGTCACAGGGCTGTTGTATTTCATCACATTAGCAGCAGTGCCCTGTGGTGGATGAGATCGGGGTAGAAAATGACCCCCTTGCCAGGTCCATTCTGGGTCTTTGGGGAGTCCCCTCCAATCGCTGGCACAGTGTCTGCACTTCCGTAGCCCCAAGGGGAGCTCTGGTGGGCTGTGCTCTTCTGTTGTTTAGGGGTAGCCCTAATCAAAAATTAGGTCATCAGAGGACCTGCAGCATGCTTGGCAAAGTCAGAACAACTTTTAGAGTATACCTGTAGGTGGTCTGTTGATATAGGAGGTCAAGGACAGTGGATTTCCTCACGCAGTGTGTTTGCTGTGGGTGTGCAGCTGACATGGCACCCACAGCCTGGTGTTTTGGCCCAGCAAACAGCTGTGGGGATCACCCAGCTTGCTCTCCCTCAACTGGGTCTCATTCTGGTGGCTGCCCTAGCATCTAGCCCACCAAACTAGCTTTGTCCCAAGCCTTCTGTGCCCAGATGGTTGGGCCGTTAGGTATTCCAGTCCATGAAGCTAATACAGTGGAATATTAATGTTATTCAGCCTTCAAAAGAAGGAAACCCTGTAATTTGTGACAACACAGATTAATCTAGAGGACATTATAAATGAAATAAGTCACAGAAGAACATATAGTGCAAAATTCCACTTTTAGGATGTATCTATAATACTTAAACTCTTAGACCTACGTAGAGAATACAATAGTGGTTGCCAGGAGCTGGGGTTGGGGAAGCAGAGAGAGGTTGTTCAATGAGTATAAAGTTTTAGTTATGTTAGATGAATAAGTACTAAACATCTGCTTTATAACAATGTCTATAGTTAACAAGACAATATTGTGCACTTAAAAAATTTTCTAGAGTAGGTCACATGTTAAATGTTTTTATCATATACTAAAAAAAATTAAAAATAAAACACTTTAAATTTCTAAAAAGGGACACAATGAAAATTTGAGAGGTGTTGGATATGTCTGTTATCTTGTCATGTTGACATATGTCTAAACTCATCAAATTATACACCTTAAAAATGTGCGATTCTGTATACATCAAACATACCTTATAAGGTTGTTAAACATAAAGACATGTATTCCCACAAAGAGTGTGACACAGAAAAATAACAGGAGAATAAGACATAATTTAGACTCCACATATCAGGTATATCAACAAATGTAAATGTTGATTTAACGACAACATTTTAAATTCCTCCTAAAAGAAAAAAGAAATTCAGATTGGCTCATAAAAAAGGCAATATAAAAGATACTCGCATAAAGCAATGTGATTCCGAGAACTAAAACTAAATGAATGAGCAAAGGTCAGGCAAATATATAAAATGAAAGAAGACAAAAGAAAATCAGGCAAAATGTTTTAAATTAGACCAAAAAGAACACCTTGTAAAGGCCAACATTTGCAATGCAGTTGCCACTACTAGAAGTAAATCAACACTAAATAGCATAAAGTAGAAATTACTAAAGCTACAAATAGAAAGAACAAAACAATAAGAAATTTTAGCATACTATTCCCAGTCTCAGTCAACTCGACTGGATAATAAATAAATAAATAATAATGCATAAAACAAAATTATAATCAATAACTTTGCTCTTATATATTAAAACGTAATAATATACCAAGTATAAATAAAAATTAACTATTTAACATACCACAAAGAAAACATCAATAAATTCCATGAAGTAGAATATATATCACTAATATCTTTGATCTCTATGCAATAAAACCAGAAACCAGTAACAAAATAGTTAAATACCTTTATCATGTAAGTATGCTAAATTATTATTATTAAATCTTTCTAGTGAAAGTGGAAATAGAAATAATATTGTAGAATCTTTTAAAGATAATGATACTGAAAACATTATATATTGTAATAATATACATGATAAAATCATAAGAATGATTTAAAACATATGTAAAAATTAGAGCACCTAAATTTTCAATATATATTAAAAAGACAGCATTAAACAACAGTAAAGACAAAACTGAAATTCATGATGTAAAACATAAACAAAAACCAGAAAATTTAATGAATCAAAACACAAATTTTTGAAAAAAAGATAAAACATACATTTAAGGTAATATGCAGTAGGCTTTGTCAGGTCATGGTTGCCACTATAACAAATAGGTCTGGTTACTTTTGTTAAAAATATATTTTTAATATGCAAATACTAAGAGAGCAATATGAAAATAATAAACTAAGTTTTAGAGGAGAGGAAATTTTTCAATTTGAACTGAAGAACATAAGGCATCCTATCCTACCCACCCAACACTTCCCAGGATATTGCAGACACAAGATAAAACAAGTAGAAAAATTACATCATCATTTCTATAGATGCAGAATGAAGCATTTGGCAAAATTAAACACTGATTTAGAATACAAACAATAGGAGTAACTTATCAAATAGGAATAGAAAAAAACCTTTATAATTTAATAAAGAATATCTTAAAAATCCTAAGGCAGAGAACACATGCAAGGTTGAAATACTGAAATTTTTCTTTCTGAAACTGCTAATAATGCAAGAAATCCTGTTATTATCACTTGTATTCAACATTGAGCTAAATGATGTAGCTAGTGGAATGAAGAAAGAAAAACCAACCACAAGTTATAAGGAAATAATAGTATTATTATTCCTGAATCTATCAGTATGTACCTAAAAATGCAAGAGTTTATAAACAAATAATCAAAATTAATAAGTAATTTTTAAAGATCACTGAATTGAGATCAGTATAAAAATCAATCACATTTCTGTATCCAAACCGAAAAAGGAAAAATCAAAAAATGTACAAAGCATCAAAATCATGACAGGCTTTTGATAATACTGTAGTAGATCTAAATAAACGGAAGATATGCTAAGCCCATGGATTGAAAGATTCAACACTTTAAATATGTCAGTTCTCCCGATATGTATCTGTAGATGCAATGCAATTGCAATAAAAATTACTTTTGAAAAAAATTGTCAAACTAACTTGGATAAAATTAAGGTCAAAAACAGCCAAAGTATGTTGAAGGGATAAAAAGAAATCTGGAAGATTTACACTACTAGATATGAAAAACAATTATAAAGCTTTTATAACCAAGAGTGTGATATTAGCACAAGGTGAACCAAACCATCCAAAGAAAAGGATAGAATCCTGATAATGATCTGCATATATAAAGGCAGATGATATACAAGCAAAGTGACATTATGATGAATAAAGAAATGATGGGCCGGGCGCGGTGGCTCATGCCTGTAATCCCAGCACTTTGGGAGGCCAAGGTGGGCAGATCACAAGGTCAAGAGATCGAGACCATCCTGGCCAACATGGTGAAACCCCATCTCTACTAAAAATACAAAAAAAAAAAAAAAAAAAAAAAAAATTAGCTGGGTGTGGCAGCATGTGCCTGTAGTCCCAGCTACTTGGGAGGCTGAGGCAGGATAATCGCTTGAACCCAGGAGGCAGAGGTTGCAGTGAGCCAAGATCACGCCACTGCACTCCAGCCTGGCGACAGAGCGAGACTCTGCCTCAAAAAAAAAAAAAAAAAAAAAAAAAAAAAAAAAAAAAGAAAGAAAGAAAGAAAGAAATGATGCTGATTCAACTGCATACCTGTACGGAAAAACATACAAGTTTTGTTTGTTGAATTTCCCTACCTTAAACCATACACAAAAACTAATTGTATGTCTATTCTAGAAGAACACTGTGATAGTTAATTTTATGTATCAACTTTACTGTGTCAAGAAATATTCAGATGGCTGGTAACACATTATTTCTGGGTGTGCCGGTGAAGGTGTTTCCAGATGATATTAGCATTTGAATCAAAGACTGAGTAAAGATCTGCCCTCAACAACACGGGTGGACACCATCCAATCTACTGAGGACCTGAATAGAATTAAAAGGCATAGGAAGGAAGAATTAGCTTTCTCTCTGTAGCTGGGATATCCATCTTCTTTTGTTCATAGACATTAGAGTTCCAGGTATAGAGGCCTTCAGATTCTGAGATTTAGACCATTTTTCCACTCCCTTCTTTCCCAGGCCATCCATGATTACAGGAGCCAATTCACATTTTAAATCTCCTTTTGTATGCAAATGTTTATTCTATTGGTTCTATTTATCTGGAGATTCCTGAATACAAACACCATAAAGATTATATTATAAACTTGGAGCAAGTAAGCATTTCTTAAACAGGACATAAAAGGCACTCAATATTAAATAAGTAAAATATAAAAAGTTAATAAGCTGAACTTCATTAAAAGGGATAATATCATTAGAAGAGTTAAAAATGCAAGCTTCAGACTGGAAGAATATTTGTAATACTTGCATCACTCACAGAGCACTTAGTTTCCATAAATTAATAAGAAAATAAAAATAAAACATAAAAAACAGGAAAAGACCTGAACATACACTTCCGAAAAGACAATATTTAAACACCTTATAAGGAAAGGATAGGGTAACCACCATTATGAGTCAGCAAATAAGAATTAAGTCCACAATGAGGCACTCCTACACACCAAACAGAATAGCTAAAATTAAAAAGACAGACATTGTAAAATGTTGGTGAGAATGTGAAATAACTGTAACTTTTATACATTAGTATCAGAAGTATACATTTTTGCAACCATTTTGGAAAACTAGTGGTATCTGCTCAAGCTAAATAAGTGCCTAAGGAAAGAACGAATCACAGGTTTCCTATGACTGAGAAATTAATTCCTAGGTATTTTCTAAAAAAGTTATATGCCCATCAAAGCACAAAGACAAGAATGTTTCTAGCAGTTATGTTCATAATAACTGTAGATTATATTATATATAATATATAATATTATATATATATATACTATTCTGTCCTTCCAGAGAACCCTGACAAATAAACTTGCTTTCATATATATATTTATATATACGTGTATATATACACGTATATATATACACGTGTATATATACACGTATATATACACACATATATATACACGTATATACACACACATATATACACGTATATACACACACATATATACACGTATATATACACACACATATATACACGTATATATACACACACATATATACACGTATATATACACACACATATATACACGTATATATACACACATATATACACGTATATATACACACACATATATACACGTATATATACACACACATATATACACGTATATATACACACACATATATACACGTATATATACACACACATATATACACGTATATATACACACACATATATACACGTATATATACACACATATATATATACACGTATATATACACACATATATATATACACGTATATATACACACATATATATACACGTATATATACACACATATATATACACGTATATATACACACATATATATACACGTATATATACACACATATATATACACGTATATATACACACATATATATACACGTATATATATATACACATATATACACGTGTATATATATATACACATATATATATATATATGTACTCTGGTTGTGAATGATGCAAGTATTACAAATATTCTTCCAGTCTGAAGCTTGCATTTTCATTTATGAAGGCAAGTTTATTAAGGAGAATTGACACGCACGATCACAAAGTCAAGTCCCACGATAGGCCATCTGCAAGTTGAGGAGCAAGGAAGTCAATGGTGGATCAGTAGGAGTCCCAAAACCTCAAAAGCGGGGAAGCCAACAGTGCAGCCTTCAATCTGTGGCCAAAGGCCTGAGATCCCCTGACTGGTATAAGTCCAAGAGTCCAAAAGCTAAAGAACTTGGGAGTCTGATGTTTGAGGGGAGGAAGCATCTAGCACAGGAGAAAGATGAAGTCCAGAAGACTCAGCAAGTCTGCTCTTCCATCTTCTGCCTGCTTTATTCTAGCTGCACTGGCAGCTGATTATCTGGTACCCACTCAGATTGAAGGGTGGGTCTACTTCTCCCAGTACACTGACTCCAATGTTAATCTTCTCTGGTAACACCCTCACAGACACACCCAGAAACAATACTTTGCATGTTTCAATCCAATCAACACTTAATATTAACCATCACAATAACTCAAAGTCAAAGCAATCAAATATTTACCAACAAGATGTTGCAAAAATAAATTGTTTTATAACTATACATTAGAATAATTTGAAAAAGTAATAAGGGCAAACTAAAGATGTACACAAAAACTTTCATTACTGATATGGTTTGGCTGTGACCCCACCCAAAATATTATCTTGAATTTTAATCCCTTATTGTAACCCACACCTGATAGGGGAAGGAACTTGTGGGAGGTGATTAGATCATGGGGACAGTTCTCCCATGCTGTTCTCATGATAGTAGGTTCTCATGAGATCTGATAGTTTTCTAAATGGCTTTTCCCCTTTTTGCTTTGCACTTCTGTCTCCTGCCACCATGAGAAGAAGGACGTGTTTGCTTTCCCTTCTGCCATGATTGTAAGTTTCCTGAGCCATGCAGAACTGTGAGTCCATTAAACCTGTTTCCTTTATAAATTACCCAGTCTCGGGCAGTTCTTTATAGCAGCGTGACAATAGACTAATGCAATTTCCATCTGTAATAGAGTAACAGAGATCAGAGTTACTCTACTACCTTAATCAACCAGAAAAATAATGTTAAGTATTACTTTTCAGAATAGATGGTTTTTAGATCCTGGACAACAAGCAATGGAAGACTGTGATTCCTGTGAAGAGCAACGCAAATATAATTGCTTCAGTCTACTGCCTGGGAAACACAGTCAGGCCACACGGCAATTATGAAAACCCAAAAGAATCTAAACGTCAGATTGCATTGATAGTAGAGAAATAATGGTCTGGTAAGACAAGTTGATTAGACTGCAATGCAAATTCCTGGAGAGGAAGGTGGTAAAAAGAGAGATTAGGTGAATTGCAGAGGGATTCTATTGAGTTTGTGGCTGACTGCCAATCAGTTAATTATTAAGAAAAATCCCATTTGAAAAAAGAAAGAACCACTGAAAAACAGACAACTGAACAATTTTTGGAGGTCACATAGGTATGAAAATAGTTTTAAAACCAGCCAAAGTGGAAAAATCTATAGTACTCATAACATTGCTTAGAGTTCTTTAAAGAATATTGCCTTATTAAGAATAAATTAGCCCTGGGCTAAAGACTTCTCTGAATTTGTTCTAATAAAGTTTAAAGAAAAATGTTCAAAGAAACAATATTATTCAAAGTAATTTAACTGCATGTCAATGCCAAATCCAACATTATGTAAAGGAGTACAATAAAAAGCTAATGCCAAAATTGTAAAATTAACAATGTCTGCCATCTATTAAAGAATTATAAAGCATACAGAGCAGGAAAATGTGATCCATAACAGAGAGATAAATAAATGTAGAAACAGAAAGAGAAGATGGAGAAATTGTAATTCATTGATAAGAATGGTTAAAAAACTCAGTTATTATAAAGCCCTCCACATATTTAAGAGCTTAAAGGAAAATATGAACATAATGAAGGCAAAAGTGGAAGATTAATTAAAACATAGAATATTTAGCAATAAAGTATGAGATGAAAATAATTGAACAGAAAAGCAGAGTACAATGTTGCAGAAAAAAAAATAAGTGTATAGAACACATAGAAACAAATGTTCTAAAATAAAGTACGGAGAGAAAAGACTGAAAAAAAAAAAACAGCAATGATCTGTGGGACAATATAAAACAGTCTACCATACATATTATTGGAATTACAGAAAAAAGAAAGCTAGGCAGGGGAATGATAAAAACATCTATATAAATAGTGGCTGAAAATTTTCAAAATTTGTTATAAACTAAATCTGTAAATCCAAGAAGCTCAGACTAAATGAACATCAAGAGAATTACAAAAACAGCAAACAAAGAAAAACAATAACAAAAACACTATACCAGGACACATTACATCAAATTTATGGAAAAAAGTGGAAAAGAGAAAACTTGGAAAGAGCAACGGAAGAAAAGACATGTATTACTAAAATAAGAGACGTAGAAATAACACCAGACTTCTTGTCAAAAACTATGCAATCTATATGGCAATAGAGTAACATCTTTAGAGATTATGACAACTAAAAAGTCCTGCAAATATATTAATAATAAAAAAGCTATCAACAATTATTGATAAGGATGTAGTTTCTAGAACTTATAAAGAACACTTACACCTCACCAATACAAAGACAAACAACCAAACAATGCATAAAGAACTTCGATAGACATATTTCCAGAGAAGAAGTAAAAATGGCCAACAAGCATGACAAGATTCTCTACATCATTAGCAATTAGGTAAATGCAAATCAGAATTATAATGTGGTGCCACTTCATATCCACTATGTTGGTTATAATTCTACTTAAAAAAAGGAAAAGGAAAGTATTGGTTAGGATGTGGAGAAAATGGAATCCTCATACATTATTGGTGAGAATGCAAATGTGTAAATAGCAGTGTCAAAGTTTCTCGAAATGTTAACCATAAAATTACCATATGATCCCATAATTCCAGGCAAAACTCTGGTAAGATGATTTTTTTCAGTGAACAAAAACCACATAAAATGTTAAAGGGAGTCTCTTCAGACAAAAGGAAAATGAAACTACATGCTAGTTTGAATCTCCACAAAAATAATGAACAATGTACACAGCAGGAAATAAATGGATAAATATAGAATTATTTCCATTTTAAAAATCATTATTGCACATTAAATTATATAAAGCAGAAATAATATACTATGGTATTATCAACATTTACAGAAGCAAAATGGCTAAACCTAATAGCAGAAGTTAGGCAAAAGGAATGGAAGTAGTGTGCTTTAAGGTTCTTACAGTGTACATGTAGAAATATGGTATTATTTTAAATTAGAAGGTGATAAGTAAAAGATGCATATTGTAAACCACAGAAACTTCAGTAAAACAAAGATGTATAATTAGTAATCTAGTAGTAGTGATAAAGTAAAATCAAAATAAACTGTGACGATAAATCATATAGAAAAATAAGAAGTTATATTTTCAATATCACTCTTCAATAAAATAACTGGGGCTCCTTGAAGATATGACTAATTCTAAGACTCTATGCATCTTGTAGTTCCAGGAAATAAGGAAGTCCTCAAAAGTTAAAATGACAGAAGTATATAAAAATGACAAATAAAACTACTGAAACAACTCCCAATAGAAAAACCTGGAAGAACTTGAGCAATGTAATCAATATGTAGTATTGAATTGAAAAAAAAAACCTGCATAAATTCACACTGATATAAAGGAATTTTCTATTAAACCTATAGACGGAAAGAGACAAATTGACTATATAGAACTTTTCAAAAAAATTATGAAAATATTCCTGCATCAAAAAGATGGAGAATGATTTTGTACCCATAAGTATAGATGTATTAGTCTATTTTCACACTGCTGATAAAGACACACCTAAGACTGAGAAGAAAAAGAGGTTTAATGGACTTACAGTTCCACGTGGCTGGGGAGGCCTCACAATCATGGCAGAAGGCAAGGAGAAGCAAGTCACGTCTTACATGGATGGCAGCAGGCAAAAAGAGAGCTTGTGGAGGGAAACTCTCATTTTTAAAAACATCATATCTGATGAGACTCATTCAGTATCATGAGAACAGAACAGTAAAGATTTGCCTCCATAATTCCATCACCTCCCACTGGTTCATCCTACGACATGTGGGAATTGTGGGAGTTACTAATCAAGATGACATTTGGGTGGGGACACAGCCAAATCATATCAGTGGCTACCTTCAGTGATCATTTTATGAATAGTACAGTATGGAAAGAAGAGTGGGAGTAACTTTACAGTGGGAGATCTTGGAAAATACTACCTTATTTTGCTTGGGTCAAGGTTTATGTCATTAGTGATAAAAATAATGTTGATAGCATGTACCTGTGAATGATATGTTGAGAGTAGCATGTTTTCTCTGTTGTCCTTCTCCCAAGAATCTATAACCACAGTCTTATCATGGGTCAAACATGAGACAAACATAAATTAAGGGAAATTTTACAAAACACCTGACAAGTGCCCCCCAAAACTGTCAAGGGCAACAACAACAAAATAGTCTAATAAATCCTTATAGCCTAGAGAAGCCTAAGAAGATATAACTAAATGCAATATGGTATCTTAGATGGGACACTAGAATAAAAAAGGACATTAGGAAAAAACTAGGGAAATCCAAGTAAAGTATGCACTTCAGCTAATAACAATGTATCAATATTATTTCACTAGTTTTGACAATATGCAATAGTAAGGTAAGATATTAACAATATAAGAAATAGTTCATGTTAGAAAAGAGTTATCTGTGCCATCTTTGCAACTTTTCTGTAAATATAAAACTATTTAAAGGTTTATTTAAATTTTAAAGGACAAAAATAATATTATAACTAATTTCCAGTAAATGTATTAACTTAATTAAAATCTACAATTTCCCTGAAAGAGAGAAACTACCAAAATTTACTCAAGAAGAAATAAGAAACTAAATAGAATGACATCTATTGGTATCTAATTGAATTCATAGTTAAAAACCTTTACCCAAATAAAAATTTGAGTCCAGTGACTTCTCTGATAAATTCTGCCAAATATTTAAGGCAAAAATATAACTTACTCTTAAAACTTTTTCATAAAAATGCAGAAGCACTTAATTCATTTTGTGAGGCCAATATTGCTGCAATATCAAAACCAGGCAATGAAAATAATAGAACATAAAACTACATACCAATACTCCTCATGAACATAAATGCAAATAATACAGCAAACTAAGAAGGATAATACATCATGACCCAGATGGAATCATATAAAAAATACAAGATTGTTTTTACATTAAAAAATCAGTATACATAATCCACCATATTGATAGAAATACATCATATGATACTAAAATAGATAAACATTTGCTATATCTCAACAACTATTAATAATAAAAGCTCTCAGTAAACTAGGATTTGAAGGTACCTTCATCAATCTGACACAGGGCCTACTTATAGATATTTATGGGTTAAAGATCATGTTTTTTCTTTTCAGATTAGAAACAAGGTAAAGCTGTCCTCTCATTATTTCTATCCAATATCGATTGGAAGTCCTAGATATTGCAGTAAGTCAAGAAAAAGAATATCTTTTTTAGTATGTTATCTGCTTGTTTTTTCCCTCCAGTTTTATCCCTGCAGAAGAAATAAGGAAAATAGAACAAGGCATGGTAACAGAGACACAGAGGAAGGAAGGGAGGAAGGGAGGGAAGGAGGGAATGAATTATATTGTACCAACCAGCACTACTATTTTCTCTGTTTTCTGAATCTTCAGTACTAGCGAGGAAGGGAGGGAGGGAGGAAGGGAGGGAGGAAGGGAGGGAGGAAGGAAGGAAGGAAGGAAGGAAGGAAGGAAGGAAGGAAGGAAGGGAGGGAGGGAGGGAGGAAGGAAGGAAAGGAAGGGAATTATATCGTACCAACCAAACACTACTATTTTCTCTGTTCTCTGAATCTTCAGTACTAGCCAGGAAGGAAGGAAGGAAGGGAGGGAGGCAATCATATTGTACCATCCAGCACTATTTATTTTTATTTATTTATTTGTTGTTGTTGTTTGTTGTTGTTTGAGACAGAGTCTGGCTCTGTCGCGCAGGCTGGAGTGCAGTGGCGCAATCTTGGCTCACTGCAAGCTCTGCCTCCCGGGTTCACGCCATTCCCCTGCCTCAGCCTCCCCGACTAGCTAGTACTACAGGCGCCCGCCACCACGCCCAGCTAATTTGTTTTTTTCTTCTTTTTGTATTTTTCGTAGAGATGGGGTTTCACCTCGCAGCACTGCTATTTTATCTTTTTTCTGAATCTTCAGTACTAGCTAACATCCCGACTCTTTGTGAGAGACCTAACTGTAGCACTTCTCAAGATATTTTTTCAAAGATATTTCCCTTTGTTTGAAGAATTCAAATGCCAGTTAGAATAATACTTTTATTTTTCACAGAAAATGGACTGTATTTAGGAATCTAGGTTAATCTCTCCTTTCTACAAGAAAGTACAGATACAAGGAGCAGCTCAGTTGATCACTATAGTCTGTGGTAACTGCCATTTAGCATCAAGATGGAAAAGGATGTACAGCCAGCCACTCATTAACTACACCCCTGTTTATCTTCATGCCATGGATCCTTTTTAGAAATTCACTTGTTTAGTATTTTCCAAATTGCTAGTCATGAACCATTAATGGCTCAAGGCTGTGATATTTTTTTTTTAAATGAACTGGAAATATACTAGAAAAGATAATGTAAGTGTGAGTACCTCACATATAGAAGTACTGCTAATTGTTTAATGGAAATTTTGACTTGGATGTATATGTACATTTACGCATAGGAGTTTTAGATTACAATATTTAACTTATGCTTTATTCCAATTAAAAATTAAAAATCTTTAAAATAAACTGCATAAGTTGTTTGCTAATTATTCATTTAAAAAGAATGTAGGTTTTCCCCTACTAAACTTCTAAGTGCTTGCTTTTGAAATCAAACTGAGAATTTGCATAATTAAAATTGTTTTCATTTGTATTATGAAGAAGTATGACTATAGGTCTCTTATTTTAATAAGGAGGTTTTCTTACATTTGTATATGTGTATTTGTGTTTTGCATTTTGAACTAGAAGGTATGCCTCTGTGGATGCAAATAATAAAATAAATACTGTAACACAGCCCTCATGCAACTTTACCTATTCTGGAAAGATAAAACAAAGAACTTCATAGAAAAGTTTTCTGAGCAGCCAAAAACAGTTATCACAGACAGGCACTAAGATCTGTGTACATTATTCCTAGAACAACTTTAGGTTTTCATGTAGACAGAAATTTAGCAGTTGCTATTATCTGTAACAGGTATCTGGCTAAATAATTTCCACATACTGTCTAGTAGAACGTGTGTTGTTTGCAACTATTAAATATGTTTTAGAGAGAGTTGAAATAGTGGAGAGGCTTTCAACACTTCGTTTTATTTTAACTATAAAAGCCAATAAAGAGTTATCCATTTTGGAAAACCTAAAAGTAAATGTGCGTATTTCACTTGGACTTTGTGTAAGTTAGTTTAGGTTGAAATGCTAAAGAATAAGAGTTTTATGTGGTTAAAAAAAAAGCCAGATAAAATTTCACACTTTAACCATTTTTAACTTTACAATCTAGTATTATTAATTACATTCACTATGTGATGCACCTGTAATCACTATTTTTTTCCAAAACAACTACAAACAGACACTCTGTACCCATTAAGCCATAACTCTCCATTCTTCTTTACCCTTAGCCCCTGATAACTTTTAATCTAGTTCCCATCTCCACAGATTTACCTAATTTAGATATTTTATATTAATGGAATTGTAAAATATGTGTTCTTTTATGTTTGGCTTATGTTGTTTATCATCATAATTTCAAGATTCGTCCATGTTGCAGCATGTGTCAATTATACCACATTTTTATTATCCATTCATTTGTTGATAGACACAGATTATTTCTACCATTTTGCTATTTTGAAGAATGTTTCTATCAACATTGATTTATATGTTTGTTAGAGTCCCTCTCTTCAATTTTTAGGGGTATATACCTGGGAGCGAACTTGCTGGGTCATGATAATTTTGTTTAGCTTTTTGAGGAACTGACAATTTTCTACAGTGGCTAGGCCAGTTTGCATTTCCACCAGTAATGTGTAAGAGTTCCATTTCCCCACATCCCCATCAATTCTTATTGTTATTACTATTATTATTATTGCCATCCTAATGGGGGTGAAATGGTAACTCATCATGGTTTTGATTTTGATTTCCCTACAGATGAATGATGTTAAACATTTTTTCATGTGATTATTGGTCATTTGTATATATTATTCATAGAAATATATATTCAAACCCTTTGCCTATTTTTAATTGGGTGGTTTATCTTTTTGCTTTTTAGTTATAGTAATTCTTTATAATTTGAATATTAAACCTTTATCAAATAAATGATTTCCATGTATTTTCTCTCATTCTGTTGGTTGACTTTTTACTCTGTCAATAATGGTATTTGATATACAAAAGTTCTTTTAGATTTTGATGAAGTGCAGCTTTATATTTTTCTTTCATTGGCCGTGCTTTTGATGTACTCATTACAAAAAAAAAATACAGCCAAATGCAAGCATGAAAGTTTTGTGTTAGCTCTTAAGTTTAGGTTTATGATCTAGTTTTAGTTAATTTTCTCTGCGGTGTAAGACAAGGGTCCAACTTCCTTCTTTTACATTTGGATATCCAATTTTATCATTAGCAAGTTGAAAAAACTATTCTTGTCCCATTGAATTGTCTCAGCGTTCTTGTAGAAAATTAATTGGCTATATATGTGTTTTAAAAATAAGAACAGCCTGGCACAGTGGCTCACGCCTGTAATCCCAGCATTTTGAGAGACTGAGGTGGGCAGATCATGAGTTCAGGAGTTCGAGGTCAGCCTGACCAACATGTTGAAACCCCATCTCTACTAAAAATACAAAAATTAGCCAGATGTGGTGGTGCACGCCTGTAATCCCAGCTACTCAGGAGGCTGAGGCAGGAGAATCGCTTGAACCAGGGAGGCAGAGGTTGCAGTGAGCTGAGATCACGCCACTGCACTCTAGCCTCAGGGACAGAGCGAGACTCCATCTCAATAAATTAAAATAAAAAGAAGAAACAGGATTTGTTGTAATCTCTTACATTTGAAAGTCTGGAATAGGAATAGGAAATATTTAGATTAGGGACAAAAAATTTGATACTAATTCAGTAAACCTACAAGATAAACACTGATAAGCTTTCTTTTCTTTCCCTAACTTATAAAGAACACATTTTAAACAATCGTCTGAAAACCACCACTAGATTATAAATGTGACTTTGAATGGTAGAGGTTGAAGAAACTAGAAATAATTAGAAAGGCAATGACAGCTTCTTTAATGAGTAAAATCAGCATTTACAGGGAAAGTCAGTTTCATTTTCACCTCGGTGTAAAACTTTCTTCCAGAAAACTTAGGACTGACTGTCATTACATAAAATACTGGTTTGACAAATACATTAGAATTTGGGTCAGGCTGATAAATTATACTGGAAATGGCATAACTACAAAATGTTATGTCTCATATAGCTACATCAAATGACTATGTGTAGAAAATTATGCCCTGTCCACTTAAAACTAGATTTATTTTTTTTCTGATTTGAACAGAATTTACCATTTGAGTGGACACTGAGAGACCTTGATTTTTTTCCCATTTTCTGCCACAATTTTATGTGACACCTTGGAAAGTAATTTAAACTCAATAAAATGAAGATAATTGCACTTACCTCACAGAGATGTAGAGAGTGTTAATGAGATCATGTCTACAAAGTGATTCAAAGTCTTTAGTTTGTAATATAAATAGCAAACATAACTATATTTTTCTAGTTGTCTAATAATGATAACTATAAATATGATGAACTGAAAAGTTAAAAGGCTGTGAGTAAAATAAAACGTTTTCATTTTAATTACTAGGCATTTAAATGTTCTCTCTTGCATGTTTGGATTATAGGAAATGCACAGAAACATTACTTATGAGTTCCATTTTAATAAGGACATGTCCCCCAAGTTTCAACTCAAGAGTACTTAACTTCTAGCCAAATACGGAAAAAAACTGAACTACCTTTTTTTTTTTGCAATAATGTCTCATAAATCACTGTAGAAGTTTAATAAAATAAATCACAGCATAAATTTTCATGAAACCTATACATTATTTCTTCAAAATGTTTCTTAATATGAAATAGAAGATCATGGCTTCAGTTCCAAATCTCATTACTCAATTGTCATACCTTCAGTGTGTCTTTATTCCTGAGCTGATAAAGCCAAATATTAATATCCTCTAATCAGTTCCTATCCTGTTAAATATTTCTCAGTGCAGAAATTCATGTAATCAGACCCAAACTATTTTTAAGTTCATAGCCTACACTAATCCTACTGCTGTCAACCATTTGTGAATTAAAGTACTTATCTTTGAAACTGAATTGCATTTTACATTAAATGAGCCAGAAAAAGCAATGTTGATTCTAACGGGCACAGGCATGATAATCTCCTGGCAAAGATGCTCTTCAAAGTACTAATTTTTGGCAGCTGTGGTGGTTCACTGCCTACTGTACTTGGCCTTGGGATAGACATTGCAGACAGGGACTTTGAAATGAGACCAGACATTAGGTCTGGATTCAATAATTACCAGAGTAAAGGAGGTCATTCTCTGCAGCAACCAGCAGGGTAATTGCATCCTAAAGGACAGCAGAATTTCTTGTCATGTCCTGTGATGGCAGTCTGAGTTGCATTGATTTGATTGGTTATTGTTGGATCACGTCCAATGTGTTGCGAGGAGTTAGCACATCACACTCCACACACACACACACACACGCACACACACACACAAATTAAAGTAGTCCAAGAGAAAAATTTCAGTAGCTTCTTGTAACAGGAAAATAAGTTTTATTTTGTTTTTAGCTCTCTTCTGTAATCCATCAAAATTAATGAGTCCATTACTGTGCACTGGAGTTAAAAAAAAAAAAAAAACACATTCTTCGTCTATCCACCTAGACATTGTTTAAAGAAAACAACTGATTCAGAAAATATCTCTTTTCTCAAAATAGCCACATTCTCAGTAGCTTACTGGAAAAAAATCTGTTAGAATTTCAGATTGACAATTGTTAGTGATATTCAAATAAAAATTATCAGTATTTACCCACATATGTGTGTGCACACACACCACACACACACACACCCCACTCCAAACCAGCACCCTCTCCCATTTTTATTTTCATTACTATTATTAGCAGCTGTAGTAAAATGGGTTTATGTCTGCCTCCAATGAGAGACAAGCAGGTCTGGAAAAGATGGGAATTCTTCATTTGAAATGTAAGATTTGTTCCATAACAAATAACTAATCTTCTTGCCAGAATTCAAAAGGCAACAACAAACAAAACAAAACCCCACAACTTTCTGGTAAGAAAGTGAGCCAGGCATCCTATAATATTAGGTAAGGATGTGTCCTTCTATTAGAAATAAACTAAACAAAGTAATATAGATCTTAAATTAAATCTAACCTTTATTTAAATATTAAAGGAAAAGAAGAAGTTTCTGCTTAGTTTCTGGTAATGAACCATTGATGTAAAACCACTCAAGTAAATGCCAATTGTATTAATGTACAGTAGCAATGAACAATTTGAAATGAAACTAAGACAATGAGTCCATTTACAATAGCATAGAAAAAGGAGCATACTTATGAATAAACATAACAAAAGAAAGGCAAGACTTATACACTGAAAACTACAAAACCTATTGAAAGAGATCTAAAACCTAAATAAGTAGAAAAATATCCTGTGTTTATGAATTGGAAGACAATATTCCTGGGGTGACTATGTTCTTTATACTGATCTCCAGATTTACTGTAATTATTATCAAAATCCTGGTGGAATTTTTGCAGAAATTTACCTGCTGATCCTAAAATTCATATGGATATTCATGGTACCCAGAATAGTTAAGAGTCTTGATTTTAAAACTTTCTACAAAGCTATACTAATCAAGATAGGGTGTACTGGTCTCAAGACAGACAAACAGATCAATTAAATAGAATTGAGTGTCCAGAAGTAAATGCATACTTTGTGGTGAATTGATTTCTGCCAAAGGTACCAAAACAACTCAACAGGGAGGAAATGGTATTTTTTTTAAGAACTGATGATGGAATAACTGGATATCCGCATGCAAAAGGATGCAGTTGGAGTCTTCATAGAATATACAATCATTAACTGACAATAGCTTTGAATCATTTAACTACTAAAACTATGATTACCTTAGAGGAAAACGAGTGAATATTTTTGTGACTTTGTATGTGGCGATGGTTTCTTAGATATGACATCTAAGGCTAAAGCAATAAAATTAAAAATAGATAAATTGGACTTTGTCAGAATTAAAAACCTTTGTATTTCAAATAGCAGTTATCAAGAAAGTGAAAGGACAACTTACAGAACGGGGTAAAATATTTGCAAATCACATATCTCATGAAGTTTAATATCTACCCCCCAGAACATATACATATGTTCTGAAGAAATATATATATTTCTTACTACTCAATAATAAAAGGGCAGATAACCTAATTTAAAAATGGGCAAAGAATTTGAAATAAGGTGTCTCTAAAAGATGATAGATAAAAGGTCAATTAGCATGAGAAAAGATGTTTAACATCATTAATCATTAAAAAATGCAAACGAGAACCATGTCACAACATCACGATATCTAAAATAAAAAAGACAATAACAAGTATTGAGAGGGAGGATAATAGAGAAATTAAAATCCTCGTACAAGGTTGGTGGAAACATACAGTGATATAACCACTCTGGAGAAATAGATTGACAGTTACTCAAGATGTTAAACATAGCATTGGCAGATGACCCAACATTTCCAATCCTAGCTATATATCCAAGAAAAATAAAAACGTATGCTCACACACGAAAAATTACACATGTATTTATTGCATCATTCCCAGTGGAAAAAAAGTTGGAAAGAAACAAAAACTCCATCCACTAAGGAACAGGTAAATAAAATGGAATATTACTCAGTCATTAAAAAGGAATAGAATACTGATGTATGCTACAATATGGAGAAAGCTTGAAAATATTATGCTAAGTCAACCAAGTCAGACATAAAAAGCCACATATATGATTCTAGCATATGAAATGTTCAGCATAGGCAAACCCACAGAGATAAAGAATTTGGTGGTTGCCAAAGGCTGGAAGTGGGAAGATTAGGCAAACAAAGAGCAGCGACTCATAATGGGTATGAGGTTTCTTTGGGGGATAAGGAAAATGTTCTTGGATTAGTTATGATCGTTGTGCAACTTTGTGAATGTATTAAAAACCACTGGATTTTGCATTTAAATGGTAAATTTTGTCACATGAATTATCTTTCAGCTAAACAAAATTATTGGAGAATTACCTTAAATTGTGTGTCATTAAAGGAATAGTGTACAAGGACACATAGCAATCATTAAACCAGAAATGTAAATTATTTTTATTTTTTAAATTTTTTCTCCATGTACCCCCTAATAAAAAATTCTGAGAAATAAATGTTCTTGGAATTACTAACTTCTGTATGAAAAGTAGGTATTAGACATATTGTCTGGTATCAGAAACATACTTCTTTTGTGAGATAGTAACTGTGAAATTTTATTAGAGTCTGTATCCTTTTCTCCTGTTAACATCAGGGAGAATGTGCTATAATTTGTGCTCACACTAAAGACCCCAGTTTTTCTAGTTAAGAGATAAGCAATGTCATGTTACTTGATTTATCAGCAATATTTGCCCTATTAGTTACTTGTGAAGTGGTTTTTATTTGCATTTTCACTTTCTTCAATTGGCTTTGAGGGACCCTACTTGGTTTTCACCCTCTATTACAGGCCATTCCTTCTCAGTACCTTATGCTGGTTCCATCCCTTTTCTCTGACCTTACACTTGCATTGCTTAGGGTTCAGTCCTTGGTCCACTTATCAACTTTCCATATTTACTATATCAGTAATTATATACATTTCAGAGTTTTAAATATCATCAATGCACTAATGGCCTTCAAATGTATACCCCCAGACCAGATCTGTCATCTGAACTCTAAGCTCATGTATGCAACTACATACTTAATAAATCATCAGACCATTTAATAGAAAATTTGGGCTTAACATGGTTAACTCATTCCTCAATTAGCATGAGAAAAGATGTTCAACACCATTAATAATTAAGAAACGCAAGTCAGAACCATGCCACAACATCAGGATAGCTAAAATAAAAAGGACAGACAATAACAAGCATCCCCCCCAAACCCCCTCAAAACAAAACAAAACTATGTCACCCACAGGTTTTCCAAGTTATTTCATGGCTAGCTCATCTCTCTAGTCTCTCAGAACAAATCATTTGGAGTCATATTTTATGCTTCTCTTTTACATGCACCATATCTAATCTGTTAGGAAATAGTGTTGGCTCTACCTTTAAAATACATCAGAAGTGTGTCTACTTCTCACCATATTGATTGATTCCTCTCTGATTCAAGAGACCACCAACTCTCACTATAATTTCCTCAAATGTCTCTCTACTTCTACTTATTTAATGTTCCATGCTATATTCTTACCCAGAAAAAAAGGTAATTATTTTAAAATATAAATTGGTTTACATCACTTCTCTGCTCATAACCCTCTAGTGGCTTCTTGTTTCACTCAAAAAGCTTCAGTTAGTATAAAGTCTATAAGACCCTAAATGAGAGTGGGATTGTAAGTTTTGGTTGCTATCAGTCACTTGTACAATATTAAGAAAGCTATTGTTCCCTTCTGGGTCTAAGTTATTCATGTGTAAATTCAACCGGCAGACTACAGGATCTCAAACCTCTTTTTCAATGATAAATTTTTCAGCTTATCAAAATATTTTTCATACTTTTCATGCTCCAGCCAAGCAATCAGGCAATAGAAAGAAATAAAGCGCATAAAATCAGAAAGGAAGAAGTTAAATTATCCCAATTTGCAGATAATAGGATCTTAAATATAGAAACTCCAAAGACCCCACCAAAACAACTGTTAGAATTCATAAATACATGAATTTAGCAAAGTTCCATGATACGAAATCAACATACGAAAACCAATAGTGTTCCTATACACTAAGAATTAACTATCCAAAAACTAAATCAAGAAATAATTCCATTTACAGAAGCTACAGAAAATTTAAATACTTAGGAACAAACTTAATGAAGAAGGTGAAAGATTTATACAATGAAAACTGTAAGACATTAATACAAGAAATTGAAGAAAACAAATAAATTAAAAGATATTTTGTATTTATCGGCTGAAAAATTTAACATTGCTAAAATATCCATACAATCCAAAGTGATCTATAGATTCAATGCAATATTTATCAAAATTCCAATGACATTTTTCACAAAAATATAAAAAACATCCTAAATTTCTTATGGAAGCACAAAAACCCTGATTAACCCAAATAATCCTGAAGTTCATTGGAACAGAGCTGGAGGTATCACACTAGCAGACTTCCAAATACACTACAAAGCTATATTAATCAAAACAGCACAATACTTGCATAAAGACAGACACTTTGAGCAATGGAACAAAATACAGAGCCCAGAAATAAATCCATGCATCTACCATCAATTGATTTTGGGAAATGACAGCCTCTTCAATAAGTGGCATTGAGAAAACTGGATATCTGTACATCTGCACATGGAAGAATGAGTTTAGAACCACATCACATCATATACAAAATTAACTGCGCTCACAGGGAGATGATTGACATCACATGGAATTTTAAAGGAATATACACAACATTTGCGCTCACTGTAATAGCAAAAGGAGGTGGCTAAGAAATTATTACAGTAGTACAGTATGCACTGAAGTTAATTTTATGTGATTATGATTTAATACTGTCTCTTTATATTTGGTTACATATTTCTCAACCATACACTCTATAAATGTTTTTGCATATGTTTTGATAAATTCTAACTTTTTATAATAGATATATTTATATATTTATGCTAATAAATGATAAACCAGGCTAGTGGCTACACATATTGTATGCATTCATGACATACCTAGCTTTTTCTTAATTAAAAAAATGTTTCTACACTACATGGTTTGTCTGCAAGATTTTCAAATTGTTGCAAATCTCCAAAACATTTTTTAATACACTATTGAAAAAAATCTGCATATAAATGAACCCATGGGGTTCGAACCCATGTTGCTCAAGGGCCACCTGTATACAAATTTTATCTGTCAATTAAAAATAGAAATTAAATAGCCAAACTAAATAAGCTTTTTTCATGTTTAAATTATAAAACGAAATTCTGAGAAAAATTACAAATAAAAATGAATCAAATCATAGAAATATGGATTTTCCACTTAATATTTACAGTAACTACTACTGACATTTTTCTACACATGCTAAAAGATATTTTTTTCATTGAGGAATCATTTACATGCAATTAAATGAGTAGATCTTTAGATTACAGGTTCATGAGTTTTGAGAATTGTATACAGCCTGTCCCCACACTCTTATCAAAATGTAAGATATTCAGGCTTCCAAAAAACAGACCAAGTACCTCTTTCTTGTTAATCAATACCCTTACTCCGGAAAACACTGTTTTTATTTTGTTCACTATGGATTAGTTTTGGTTGTTTTGAAATTACAAATAAATGGAATTATACAGCCTGTACTCTTGTGTATTTGCCTTTTCTAATTTAGCATAATCCTTTTAAGAAAGTAGTAACTGTAAAATAATGTTATAATAAAATGGGCTTCATCAAAACTGAAAACTTGCCAACAAAAGACAATAAAAATATGAATAGGCAAGTCACAGAATCACAGAAAGTATGCATAAGTATTTCTGGTAAAGGTCTTATATTCATAATGTATAAATAACTGCATCACAAATAATAAAAAGACAAATCATGAAAATTTGCTCAAAAAGCTTGAACAAGCGTTTTACAAATGAAAATATGCAAATTTTCCATGCTGTTGCATCAAATGCTGATTTATTCTTTTTTATTGCTGAATAATATTTCATTGTAGGGAAATATCACAATTTATCAGTTATTCAATTGATGGACATACTCTTTAGTGCACACATATTTTCATTTATTTGGGTATGTACGTGTGATATTCCTGGCTACAAGGCACCATAATACTCCTCCAATAAGGTATGAGTGTTCCAGGATCTATAAATTCTTAATAAAATTTGTGTTTAATCTTATTAATTTTAGACATACTGGTAGACATGTAGTGGTATTCAATTGTAGTTTTAATTTGCATTTCCCTCATAACTAATAATATTGAGCACATTTTTATTTGTGCATAAGCCATTTGGATATTTTCCTTTGTAAAATGCCTGTTGAAGATTTTTGTCCGAAGTTTTCATTAGTGTGTCTTTTTGCTATTTGTGATGCAGTCAAATACATATCCAAATGGCTTATCTGTAAATAAATAAAAATGTGCTCAATATCATTATACGTAGGTCGTATGTATATATAAAACCTTTATCACAAAGTTTTATAAGTACTTTCCATGATTCTGTGACTTACCTATTTGTATTTGTTTGTCTTTCATTTGAAAGTTTTTAGTTTTAATGAAGCCTTTTTTTTTTTTTTTTTTTGAGACAGAATTTCACTGTTCTTGCCCAGGCTGCAGTAGTGCAATGGCGTGATCTCGGTTCACCACAACCTCCACCTCCGAGGTTCAAGTGATTCTCCTGCTTCAGCCTCACAAGT
Organism: Homo sapiens; assembly: GCF_000001405.40. Classification (NCBI taxonomy): domain Eukaryota; kingdom Metazoa; phylum Chordata; class Mammalia; order Primates; family Hominidae; genus Homo; species Homo sapiens. The sequence continues at coordinate 22,117,564 of NC_000002.12, forward strand.
AGCTAGGATTAAAGGCATGTGCTACCATGCCTGGCTAATTTTGTATGTTTAGTAGAGACAGGGTTTCTCCATGTCACTCAGGCTGGTCTTGAACTCCCAACCTCAGGTGATCTGCCCTCCTCGCCCTCTCACAGTGCTGGGATTACAGGCATGAGCCACTATGCCTGAAGCCCATTTTATTATAATATTAATTTATACTTGATACTTTCTAGTTGTTATATTTAAATAATCTTTGCTTTTGCCAAGGTTATGGTTAGTCTTCCTTATGTTGTTGTAGAAATCTGATTATTCTAAATGTATCATTATATCACCTCTATGATGTATCTCTAATTGACTTTTGTAAAAGGTGTCAGGTATTTGTAGTATTAGTTAAGGTTAACATTTCTTCTTCTTCTTCATATAAGTAGTCAGTCAATTGAATACTCTGTTGAAAACCTTCCTTATAACATTGAATTTCTTTGATGCCTCAAGTTGAAAATAATTGTCTCTACAAGTATTTATTTTTGAAGTTTCTCTGTTGATTTCAAATAAGGAAAGCTTTAATTTTTTATATCCACTCTCCCTGCTTTTTATTTTATTTTCTTATTTTATTGCCAGGGCTGAGACCTCCACTACAATGTTTACTCAAGTAGTAATTGCAGATGTATTTGCCTTGTTTTTGACCTTTGGTAGTAGGAAAGTATTCCATCTTTTACTCTTAAATATGATGTTAGCTATGAACCTTGTATAGATGCCTTTTATTATATTTATATAGATTAGAGTTACTAGAGTGATGTCTTCTATTCCTTGTTAAGTCTTTTTCTTATTTTTATATAAATGTGTATTGAATTTCTGTCAATTTTTTTGCATCTATGAAATTATCATGTAATCCTTTTGTTACTGAATAGAGAAGACTGCAAGAATTAATTTTCAAGTGGTAAACACATTTCTAATTTTTGGGATAAATCTCACTTGTTTATCATACATGAAAAATTTCTGGTTTTGTCAATATTTTGTTAATGATCTTTGCCATGGATTTATGAGGAAAATTAATCTATAATTTCCTTTTCTTGTATTTTTAAGTTGGTTTTGTTACCAATGCAATATTGTCCTCATGCAATGTTTGGAGGTGCTATCTCTTATTTGTGTTAAAAAAATTTGTTTAAAATTGCTATATTTTTCTTAAATATTTGAGTGAGTGTATGAGTGTGCACACACAACTTGTAATATTGAATATGGTGTATTTATTAAACATAGAGCCATGCAGATTTTCTCTTTTGTGTCAATGTTGGTAATCTTTGTATTCAAAATATTTGCACATTTAGGCTGGGCGTGGTGGCTCATGCCTGTAATCCCAGCACTTTGGGAGGCCGAGGTGGATCACCTAGGTCGGGAGTTTGAGACCAGCCTGACCAACATGGAGAAACCCTGTCTCTACTAAACATACAAAATTAGTCAAGGGTGGTGGCACACGCCTGTAATCCCAGCTACTCAGGAAGGCTGAGGCAGGAGAATCGCTTGAACCCGGGAGGCAGAGGCTGTGGTGAGCCGAGATCATGCCATTGCACTCCAGCCTGGGCAACAAGAGCAAAACTCCATCTCAAAAAAAAAAAAAAAAAAAAAAAAATATATATATATATATATATATATATGCACATTTTACCAAAAATGTTAATTGGCATAAAATCTTTAATAAGATTCCTATATCTTTAAAGTCCATAAGATCTGCATTGTCCCGTTTTTAATCCATATTGTTATTTGTGTTTTCTTTTTTATCTTTGACCAGCTAACTAAACTCTTAACAAATTTATTAACCTTAAGCAACTTTTGTTTTTATTTTTCTTCAGGGCTTTTCTATTTTCTGTTTCACTGAGTTTCACTCATGAATTCTTTTTCTTGATTTCTTTAAATTATCTCATTTTTCTAGCTTATTAAGGTAAAAGTTTAGATCATTAAGTTTGCACTTTTCTTTTTTAGTATAAGTAATTACCACAAGAAGTTCTCTTGTAATTCTTAAATTTTGATCGGCTGTGTTTTTATTACCATTCAGTTTGACATAGCTTCTAATTCCCTTTGAAATTCTACTTTGATCCATGCTCTATCTAGTAATAGGTTAAATTTTCAATTATTTGAGAATATTCCAGATATTTGGCAGGTTTTTTTTTTTTTGTTATTTTTGTTAATTCATTTAAAGCCAAAGAGAGGCTGTGCACGGTGGCTCACGCCTGTAATCCCAGCACTTTGGGAGGCCGAAGTGGGCTGATCACAAGGTTAGAAGATCAAGACCATCCTGGCTAACACGGTGAAACCCCGTCTCTACTAAAAATACAAAAAATTAGTCAGGCATGGTGGCGGGCGCCTGTAGTCCCAGCTACTTGGGAGACTGAGGCAGGAGAATTGCTTGAACCCAGGAGGCGAAGGTTGCAGTGAGCCGAGTTGGTGCCATTGCACTCCAGCCTGGGTGACAGAGCGAGACTCCATCTCAAAAAAAAAAAAAAAAAAAAAAAAAGCCAAAGAGATCACTCTAATTTTAATTCTTTAAAATTAGCTGAGACATATTTTATGGTTCAACATAGAGTCTAAATTGGTTAAAATTTTCTTTGAACTTGAAAACAACTAATTATGCAATTGTGTGCAAAGTAATGTTTATAAATGCAAATTAGGTTAGGTTGGTTGTGGTGCTGTTCAAGTGTTTAATATTGTTTATTTTCTGTTGAAAATATTACCAAGAGTGTTTAAATTGCCAACTATAATTGTCGATTTGTCTGCTTCTCTTTAGCTTTTGCTTTGCTCATACTTGCTTCATTTATTATGTTTTGCCTTCTTGATAATATGACCCTTTATCATTAGGAAATGTTACTCTTTTTCTCTGGACATAAAATGTGTCAACAAGTTTATTTTCTCTAATATCAATATAGACACTTCAGTTATTTTCATGATAGTGCTTCTGTGATAAACTGTTTTTCATTCTTGTACATTCGACAAAACTGTATCTTCTTATTTAAGGTAAACCTCTTGAAATAGCATATAATTCCGTTCTGCTTTTTTACACATTTTAACAATTTATTTCCTTTATCTGAAATGTTTGTTCCAATAACTTTTAGTAATTGCTGTTGAAGGTGAACTTACAGCCTCAACTTATTTGTATTTTATGTTACACTTATCATTTTTTCTACTTTTTTATCCTTATTTTTCACAATTTCTAGTACTTCCCTAATGTGGCTATTGACTCATTATGTATGCCCTTTGTGTTATATTTAGTGCTAGTTCTAGGGTTGACAAATAAGCTTCCACTTATTACCATCTCTATATATTTAAGACTGGGTCTCAATCTGTCACCCAGGCTGGAACACATTGGTGGCTCACTGTAGCTTCCAATTCCTGGGCTCACCTGATCCTCCCACCTCAACCTCCCAAGCAGCTGGGACTAAAGAAGCACACCATCATGCATGGCTAATTTTCTTATTTTCTGTAGAGACAGCATCTCACTATGTTGCTCAGGCTGGTCTCAAAATCCTGTGCTTATGTGATCCTCTTGCCTTGGTCTCTCAAAGTGCTGGAATTACAGGCATGAGCTTCTGTGCCTGGTTGTATATCTAAGATAAGAATTTTGCAACAGTATACTCTATATTCTCTCATCCATCCTGCTATTATCTTACATCTTAATTCTGTGACTTTTACAAACTTTATCATACATTGTTATTACCTTTTACACTTTAGTCTTTTAAACGAATTAAAAATGGAAATATCTTACCTATGTACATATTGACAGTTTCTAGTGCTTCTCATTCCTTTGTGTAGAATTGAGTGTTTATCCAGTATCGTTTTACACAGTCTGAAGAATACTCTTTAATGTGTTTGGAGCTAGAGGTCTGCTGATAACCAATTTTCTTACCACTTTTTTTTTACATTTTTATTTGTAGGTTAACCTTATATTTGAAGATTATTTTCATTAGATAGATGATTCTAAGGGACAGGATGCACTGTTTCTTTTCTGTACTTTAAAGACGGCACTACTTTTTCTTTCAGCTTGAATTGCTTCTGACCAGAAATATGTCTCATTTGTCTGATTACTTTTAAGAGTGTTTAATATCAATTATCAACAATTTGATTGTGTCTTGGTATAATTCTCCTGGTATAGTTTTCTGCTTATTCTTCTTGAGGGTCTTTGAATTTGAGTTTTTTGTGTTTCATCAAAGTCTCATCAAATTTGGAACATGTTCTGCCATTACTTAATCAAATGTTTTTTGCCAGAATATATTTTTCCTTTTTTTATTTTATACTCTTTTGACATATATGTTAACCTCTTTATATTGTTTCACAAGTCAATGAAGCAATGTTCATTTTTTATTAGTTTTTTTTTATGTGTGCTGGAGTTTAGTTCCTGTTGGTCTTTCTAATATACAGAAAGTTCCTATTGCTCTAATATGTAATATATAGTATCTATATTATATATAATATAGACAAAATTATCTACATTATATTATCTATATTATATATATATTATCTATATATATAATATAGATATTATATTATAGGGCCATAATATAGATATTATATAGATAATATATATTATTTATAATATCTATATAATACCATATACTATATATATAGTGCCTAACAAAGAATTCAGTATAGCAGTTGTAAGGAAGCTTAAGAAACTTTGAGAAAGCACAGAAAAATAATTAAGAAATTTATTAAAGAAATTTAACAGAGAGATTGAAATAATATAAACCCAAGCAGAAATCCTAAAGCTGAAAAACAATCAATAAGATAAAAATGCAAGAAAGAACATTGACAGAAGAATTTGTTACAGTAGGTAGCTAATCAGACATGAAGCAAATTGTTACAGTAGGTAGCTAGTCAGGCATGAGCAGGGCAGGGGAGGGCTCCCCCAACCCACCCCATCAGGAATGTCAGGTGACCATCAAGTAACTGTCAGGCAGTTGTTACACTGTCTCTCTAAAATAATGATTGTTTGCAGCCAGAGCCAAGGAAAGGCAGACTCCCTATGGACAGAAAATCCTGAAACCGGTTATCAGCAACTTCCTGAAAAGATCTCAGGAGTTTGGTGACTGGGCTCAAGCATGTGCATTAAGAGACAAAATGGTAGAGTTTAACTGTTAAATGACATATGACCTTCCAGGGACATTCCCCCAGTAAAAAGAACACCTCAAGCAAGCATGAGTAAAATTCCAGTAAATGGACTGTGCATGCTCCCCTCCCAAGCAGGCCACTGTGCATGTGGACAGTGCACCCCAAGTGAAGAATCAAGGGAGAAGGGACACAAGACCCCAGAAGTATGCCAACATGTAAAACCCCAAGACTAAAGGTCAAACCATGCACTTGTCTTTTAAATTGTCTGCCCCTCTTTCAAATGTACTTTCCTTCCTTTGTTCCAGCTGTAAAGCTTTTTAACAAACTTTCTCTCTTGCTCTAAAACTTTCCTCGGTCTCTTCTTCTGCCTTATGCCCCTCAGTCAAATTCTTTCTTCTGAGGAGGCAAGAATGAGGTTGCTGCAGACATATGTGGATTCACCACCCTAACATATTTTGGTGCCATGTGACTTGGATAACTTTCACCACCAACATACTTTGGTACTGCATGACTCAGACATATTCCCTAGTGCCTCGTCTCTATGCCTCACCTTCTTCAGCTGGAGGTGTTCAATATCTGTACACGGTTTTCTTCTCCTACTTACTATCCAACCCCCAGAATAATCCCTTAGTCATAAGTGACTTGCTCCTCCCAGAAGATCTCTCAGCTTACCCTGATAGGTGACTCACAGAGGTGGGAAGGACCCTGGAATTAGAACTGAGGCACTAATTGCTCTCCTGGACAGGAGGCTCACGAGAGTGGTAGGGCTAAAGCCTAAAATCATACAATGTCTAGGGTTTCCACTGCTTTTTCAACTAAAATCGGCTCTTTCCCAAGAACCCATACTGCCTATTCTTCTGTCTTTCTCTCTGTGTGTTCTGAAATGGCCTTGTGTACCCACCAGACTGTCCACCTCGGTGGAAAATCTGCCTCTTTGCTTTCATTTCACATACCACATGACTTCTTAAATACACACTCCCTTTTATTTGTATGCCCATGACTTTTACTGCATTTGTGTGGAGCAAAGACATGGGCTCCCTTGCAGATATCCCTGAGATTTATATTTGTTTTTACCCTACCAGCTCAGATGACCTCCAACCCTTCACCTGTCTGCTGGTACATTGCCCAGGCAGACACTAATTGGAATTCCATCTCCGTCAGCTCCTTACCACTTAACATATGCTTTTGCTTCCTGTTATTACACAGGGCCAAGTTTTCTATTGGCTTTTGAAGTAGTTTGTTTGCCTGCATAAGGCCTCATTCTGGCCTTTTAAGGATGCCACCCTTTTTTTTTTTTTTTGAGTTAGCATACCTTTTGGATAACAAAAAATTCTTCCTTTGCCATTTGTGAACTCTTATCTCAAGCCCCAAGACCTCTGGAGGTTACTACTTTGCCCTCTCGAATCCAAGGCTGCTGTTTTTGTGAACATATGAAGGCTTTCCACGAGTATTCCTTTTCCTTCCTTCCACTTCCTCCTGTAGCCTCCATTTCTGTAATTACTTCCACGCCCTTCTCAACATGCATCAGGACCTTCAAGGTCATATTCGAAGGGAGCTGGAGGGAAGTCCAGCCCCCTTGTGGCAGTTAGCTGAAAAACAGAATTCTCATCTACTTAAGGAATGTGGGAAATTGGAATCTGAGAAAAGAGATAATCATTTTATTGCACAAATGCTCTTGGTGAGAGTCACTCTAAAGTCTTGGAGACAAGGATATAGGCCAGCCCAAGGACACAGGTGCAAGAGACTCATTGAACAAAGATATAGGTTGGTCCCAGGCTAACAGATTACCATTAGAACAGAGATGAAACATTAGGGGTACATGGTAAGACCAGTTATTCTGGAACCCTAAGGACGAACAGGGGTCCAACGCTTCACTCCAGCATCTCATCTATTCTCAAGTGGGTAACTGTGATGAGATGGTACCAAGGGTACACAGTAAGACTGGTTTATTCCAGAACCCAAAGAATGATGGGGGATGCCCATCATGATAGTAGTCAAGTAGAGGGAAAGCTTTCTTTTACTCTTTTCCTTTTTCTGCTCTGTTCTCTCTTCACAGATGGGTAATCACATCTCCATAACATAGGACGTGCCCCTTGGATGCTTCCCCCAAAACTGGAAAAGTTTGATTCCCCCAAACCTTACAAAACTAGTTTTCCTTTGTAATACTGTTTGGCTTAAAAATGACTTGGGAGGAAGTTACAGAAGTCAGCCTTGGGACCCAGTGCAGGAGTTCCTTGGTTAGTTAGCCTTTTCAGTCTTTTTAAGCCAACAGCAAAATAAGGAGGAGAGGGCTAAGGAAAAGGAGAAACCCAGGGAAAGGAGGCAGGCTCAACTATTGGCTGCTCTGCAAGCCCACCAGCCCCCTTTAAGTTGCCCTAAGGACACTCCTCCAGGTAAATGCCATTGGTACAGGAAGCCAGGCCACTGCAAGGCAAACTGCGCCCCAATGGGATAAATGGGAAAACGCCTCCCATGGCTTATCCTCTCTGCCACAAGCACAGCCACTGGAAACAAGACTGCCTTGGGGGCCAAAGGGTCCCTGGGAAGAATCCCAACCCCTGACGGCCTTGGGCTGAAGGGGCTCTCTGCTCCAGCTGGTGTCCAAATCAGACATTGTCATCAATAGTACAAAGCTATGGACAACTCTGGAGGTGCGAGTAAAATTATAAATTTCCCTTTTGAGTTTAAAAGCTGCCTGCTCTGTGCTAATCTCCTTCTCTGAACAAACCTCCTCCAAATCCTGTTGAGTAATTGGGGCAAATGGCATCCCTTCCCTCCAAAAGAAATAATTCACACCCCTTTGTATTACTTAAGGGACCAATTACCATTCTCTAATCAGTCCCTAGTATATCTAAATACCCCACACCTCTTTGGGGCAAAAATATACTTTCCAAGATGGGTGCCTCCTTAACATTTACCCAACCTCTGAATTCATCTTTTCTTCTAATAGCTCTATTTCTTTTGGGAAAGCTACCTATACATTTAACCAATAATTTCATCATGGATTTAGAAATAGCCCACACTTATGCAGGCAAGCCCTGCAAAACTCTAACAGAGCAATCTTTTAAGGGGCGATAACTTCTACATTATATAGGTAACCTTCTCTGCTCCCTCCTCACAGGACTTGCACAGTAACATGCAGTACAAACCTTAACTTTCTAAGAGAAGGGGAAATTACTTGTTTAATTCAAAGGTTATATAGGTAAAGAGGTATTTCTGGTAAGAAAGGTTGTAAAGAAAAGAGATTTATCTTAGCAGGCATGACTACAGCCATGAGTTGCCTGGGCATGTTGGCAGCCTCAGGATTTTTTTGGAGTTGTCCTCATCACCTTATTTTGTTTTAAGTCTTCTAATAACCTGATTTTTCTCCTTTTGCCTTCAGGCCATCAAGCTCCAGATGATTTTCAGTGAGGGATAATGTCTTCTCAATATTCAATTCACCCTTCTACAGAGGACCCCTAGATAGCCCATCAGTGGGACATAATAGAGGTGAAATCCTGCCTCTGTCTCCTTTGGACCTAGCTGGATACTGCTTTCACCAACATATAGAAACACCCTCCTGCCCTGACAGCTAGCAAGAGGCCAAGATTCACAGAACCATGACCACCGACCCTCTGTCAGCAGAAAGCAGTTACAGGAGACTGACCTTTATGAATTTTCCCCAAAGAATTGGAGTCTTGGACTCTTGACGCGAGAAATGTTACAGTGGGTAGTTAGTCAAGCATGAGCAGGGCAGGAGAGGGCTCCGCCTGATTGGGAATGTCAGGTGACCATGAGGTGATGATCAGGTGGTTGTTAACTGTCTCTCTAAAATAATAATTGGTCACAGGCAGCGCCAGGGAAAGGTGGTCTCCCTATACATAGAAAATCCTGAAACTGGAGATCAGCAGCTTCCTGTTAAGATCTCAGGAATTGGACAAGTGAGTTCAAGCATGTGCATTACAGGCAAAATAGTGAAATTTAACGGATAATGACCTTCTAGGAGCATTCAGCTGGTAAGGAAAGAATGCGTTAAGTGGGCATGTATACAATTCCAGTAAACACGCTGCACATGCTCCCATCCCAAGCACTAGCAGACCACTGTGTGTGCAGACAGCCCACCTGAAGAGAAGATTTAGGGGAGAAAGGATGCAAGACCCTGGAAGTATGCCAACATATAAAACTCTAAGTCAAAAGTCAAACCGCACACTTCGCTTTCAAGTTGCCCACTTGGCCCTCTCCCAAGTGTACCTTCCTTCCTTTTGTTTCTGCTTAGAACTTTTGAAACTTTTACTCCTGATCTAAAACTCGTCTCAGTCTCTCCTGCCTTATGCCCCACTGTCCAATTCTTTCTTCTGAGGAGGCAGGAACTGAGGTTGCTGCAGACCCATACAGATTCACTGGTGGTAACTCAGTTACCTGCCACTGGTAACAAGTTGATCAAGGAGAAGAAAGAAACTGTCAACTTAATAAGAAGAAATTTGAAAATATACAGACAGAGAAGAAAAAAAGATTTAAAGGGAAAAAAGAAAGCTTATGAGAGTGTGTGACATCATCAAAAGATGAAATTGATGCATCACTGGCATTTAAAAGACAACAGAGAAAGATAAAGGGATAAAAAACTTATTTAAAGAAATAATAGCAGAAAACTTTCCAAATCTGGAGGAAGATATAAATATCTAGGTACAAAAAGTTAATAGAATTCTAATCACATTCAATCCAAAGAAAACTACCCACATGACATATTGTAATCACACTTTCAAAGATTAAAGACAAAGAAAAAAACATGAAAGCATCAAGAGAAAGGAGACAAATGATATGGAAGAGAGTTTCAATATGTCTAGGAGGAGACTTGTCAGGGGAAACCTTACAGCCCAGGAGACAGTTGAATGATATATTCAAGGCACTGAGGAAAAAAAAATTGCATACTGGTAAAGCTATGCCCAATGAAGCTGCCCTTCAGAAATGAAGGAGCTATAAAGAAAAACAAAAGCTGGAGTTCATTAGCAATGTATAGATCATCCACATAGAAAATTAACAAAGAAACACTGAATTTAAATAGCAGCCTAGACATAATGGATCTAACAGATATTTATAGAACATTTCATCCTACAGTTGCATAATATACATTATTTTCAACTTCATATGGAACACTCTTCAAAATACATCATATGCAAGGCCACAAAACAAGTTTTAACAAATTTAAGAAGATTGAAAATATACAGTAGTTTTTTCTAAATATAATGGTATGGAAGGAAATTAAATTTTGGGGCCCCCAAACTCGTTTAGCCAAAGGGAAAAGTCAAGCTGGGAACTGGGCCATGAAAACCTGCCTCCCATTTTGATTCCTAAATAAGATCACTAGAAGATGAAAGGCTACATGTCTCCTCCATATTTCGCCCACGAGTAAATTCCTAGTGAGCTGTTAAAACTCTGCCATGGCAATGCAAATTGATAGCTTATCTTTACAGGTGCAGTCACCCCCTTCCCACCAGACACAAATGCATATCTAATTGTTCCCCTACCCCATTTTGTCTGTGTTATCATATGTAAAATGCAGATTTCCCACATTTTTCCTCTGTCCCTTTGTTTATATGAAAACTGTGTGCTTTCCCTTTAAATTTGGAGCCCTCAAAATCATCTTTGGAGAAAAGCATAGACCTGTCTCCCAGGCATGTTCTTAACTTTGGCAAATCAATCTCTGAAAATGATTGAGAATTGTCTCGTCATTTTCCCCTGTTGACATCAGCATAAACTAGAAATGACCAACAGGAGAAATTTTGGAAATATTAAAAATACCTGAAAATTAAACAATATGCTGCCAAATAACCAATTGGTCAATAGTGAAATAAAAATAAAATTTTTTAAAATTTCTTTAAACAAACAAAAATGAACACACAATGTATCAAAATCTATGGGATACAGCAAAAGCAGTTATATGAGGGAAGTTTACAGCAATAGATGCCTGAATCAGAAAACAAGGAAGTTCTCTAAACAACCTAACATTTCACCTCAAGAACTAGAAAGAACAAACTCAACCCAAAATTTGTAGAAGTAAAGAAATAATAAAAGAGCAGAAATAAATAAAATAGAGACTAGAAAAACAATACAAAAGACCAAAAAAAGAGATGGTTTATGAAAATTAAGCAAAACTGACAATCATTTAGCAAGATTAATTTTTAAAGAGAGAGAGAGAGAAGACTCAAAAAATAAAATCAGGATCAAAAATTACATTACAATTGATACCACAATAATACAAAAGATTGTAAGAGACTATTACAAACAATAATGTCAACCAATTGGATAGCCTAGAAGAAATGGATTAATGCCTGGATATATACAACCTACCAAAATTGAATTCTTAAAAAAATGAAATCTGGCCTGAACAGACCAATAAGTAAGGAAATTGAATCACTAATAAAAATTCAGATGTTTTCACTGCTAAACTCTACCAAACTTTTTTCAAAAACTAATACCAATTTTTCTCAAATTTCTCCAAAATATTGAAGAGAATACTTCCACACTCATTCTACAAGGTCAGTATTGCCCAGATACCAAAACCAGACATGAACACAACAAAGAAGAAAACTACAGGCCAGTATCCCTGATGAATGTATATGCATAACTTTTCAACAAAATTATGCAGTAATTAAGAAGATTGAAATTATATAGCATCTTTTTGGAAGATACTATATAACTGGAATTATACAGGATTTAACTAAAGAAGTGAAGGCGCTGTACTTTATAAAACATGGATGAAAGAAGTTAAAGAAGACATAATTAAATAAAAAACACCCCATGTTCAGCAATTATAGGAATAAATATTAAAATGTCTATACTACTCAAAATAATCGAAAGATTTAATGCAATTTCTACCAAAATACCAATGGCATTATTCACTAAAATAGATTTTTTTTAACTTTTATGAAAACACAAAATACCCTGAATAGTCAAAGCAGTTTTGAGCAAAAAGGAGCAAGGTAGAAACATCACATTACCTAAATTTAAAATATACTACATGGTAGAAAAGGAATTTGAGGAGATATTTAAAAAAATAGAATAAAATAAATAAAATGTACTGAAAAGCTATACCCCAAAATAACATTAAACTGGCATAAAAACAGACACATAGATCAATGGAACAGAATAGAGAGCCCAGAGATCAATGCATACATTTACGGCTAACTGATTTTTGACAAAGTAGACAAGAACACATAATGGTGAAAAGAGGTCTCTTCAATAAGTAGTGTTGAAACAAATGTATATCCACATGCAGAAGAATAAAATTAGACCTTTATCTCTCACCATACGCAAAGTCAACTCAAAGTACATTAAAGACTCAAATGTAAGATCTGAAATTATGAAACTGCTGGAAGAAAACATAGGGGAGAAGCTCCATGACACTGGTTTGGAACCATCAAGAAACAATACCATTTAGAGTAGTTACACACCCACACACACACACACACACACACACACACACACACACACAAAAGAATACTTTGGAATAAATTTAAAGAGGTGGAAAACCTCTGCATTAAAAACTATGAAACATTAATAAAAAAAGTTAAAGAAGACACAAATGAATCAAAAGATATCCCATGTTCAGTGATTCATTTTTATATCCAACATCTAAAAATAACATCCAATTTTTTTGGATATAACCTCAAAAGCATACTCAACACAAACAAAAATATATAAATTGAATTATATCAAACAAAAAAGGTTATTCAGCAAAATAACCAATCAACATAGCAGAAAAATAACCTACAGAATGATAGAAAATATTTAGAAACTATATATCTGATAAGAGGGTTATATCCAAAATTTATAAGGAATTCAAATGACTCCATGGCAATACAACAAATAACCCAATTTAAAAATAGCAAAAGACCTAAAAGGGTATTTTTCAATAGGTATATGAAAAAAGTGGCCATTAGGTATATGAAAAAAAAAGTTCAACATGACTAATCATCAGGAAAATGAAATTAAAACCACAATGAGACATTACCTCACTCTGGTTTGAATGGCTATTATCAAAAAGAAAAAAGATAAGTGTTGATGAGCATGTGGACAAAGGGGACACCATTGATGGGAATGTAAATTAGTACAACTATCATGAAAAACAATATGGAGTTCCTTCAAAATTCTAAAAATAGAACTACTGTACTATACAACCACTGCTACTGGCTATATACACAAAGGAAATGAAATCAGGATGTCAGAGATTTCTGCACTGCCATACTTACTGCAGGACCATTCACAGAAGCCAAGATGTGGAATCAGCCTAAGTGTTCATCAACAGATGAATGAATAAAGAAAATGTGGTACATATACCCAAAGGAATATTATTCAGCCACAGAAAAAAGAAAGAAAAAAAACCCTGTAATTTGTTACAACATGGATAGACCTGGAGGACCTTATGTTAAATAAAATGAGCCAGACACAGAAAGACAAATACTCCATAATCTTCTTCATGTGGAATCTAAAAAAGTTGACCTCAAAGAAGTAGAGAATAGAATGGTGATTATCAGAGGCTAGGTAGGTGGGTAGAGAGGTGTGGAAATGTTGGTCAAAGGATTTATAATTACAATTAGAATAATTTTAAAAGATCTATGTTACACCACTGTGTCTATAGAAAATGACCTTTTATTGTATTCTTGAAAAATTTAGACAGTTGATGGTACATGTTCTCACCACAAAAATAACTATATGAAGTAATGCATTTGTCAATTAGCTAGATTTAGTCACTCCAAAATGTACATACTGTTGGCCCTCTGGATCCTTGAGTTTTATATCTGTGCATTCAAGCAATTGGATGGAAATATTTAGAAAACAAACATGGATGGATATGCCTATACTAAACATGTATAGCCATATTTTGTCATTATTTTCCAAAGAATACTGTATACTAACTACTTACAAAGCATTTACATGGTAATAGGTATTATAATTAATCAAGCGATGATTTAAAGTATATGAGAGGATGTGAATGGGTTATATGCAAATACTATGTCATTTTGTATAAGGGATTTGATCATGCATGAATTTTGGTATCTGTAAGAGATCTTAAAACCAATTCTCCATAGATACCAAGATACAACTGTATACGTCAAAGCATCATGCTGTACACAATAAATACTTATCTGTCAATTTTTTCTGAAGTTAAACAAACTTTTAAAAGAAATGTGGGGATAATGAAGAAAAGGCAGTATTTGAATTTTACAGTGCCAGAAACTAGTTCATGTAAATTCTTCAAATAATCAGACATTTAAAATTAACAAGGAGAACTCAGTTTCCAAAGCAGCCTGGTCAAAATAAATTTTTATGCTAAAATATCTATACATATATTTTATATATTCAATAATATTTTAAAATTTCACAGCTTATATATAAAGAAAATTGAAAGTTTTCCCAAGTTTGACTATATCTCAAAAATGTAAATGACATTTTCAATAATACATTATGATGCTGAAGTATTCTTTCCTAAAATATGTTATTAATGAAAATTAATTTATATCACTAGAGAAAAGACTGCTTTGACTTTCTAATCTGATATCTGAATTTCTTTTTTTTTTTTTTTTTTTGAGACGGAATCTTGTTCTGTCGCCCATCCTGGAGTACAGTGGCGTGATCTCCGCTTACTGCAGCCTCTCCCTCCCGGGTTCTAGCGACTCTCCTGTCTCAGCCTCCTGGGTAGCCGGGATTACAGGCGCATGCCACCATGCCTGGCTAATTTTTGTATTTTTAGTAGAGACGGGGTTTCACCATGTTGGCCAGGCTGGTCTCAAACTCCTGACCTCAGGTGATCTGCCTGCCTTGGCCTCCCCAAAATGCTGGGATAACAGGCGTGAGCCACCATGCCCAGCTGACATCTGAATTATTTTAACAGTTTTATTGAGATGTAATTTGCATATTATATTATTCACTCATTTAAAATACGCAATCTGATGGCTTTTAGTATATTCACAGAGATACGCAACCACCACCAAAATCAATTTTAAAGCTTTTTCATCATTCAATGAAGAAATTCCATAACGATTAGTAGGCATTCACCATTTCTCTCTCCACCCCTCCTATCTTCTCCTTGCCTCCCCATCCCACACCAGACCCTCTAGCCTCAGGCAATCACTTGTCTAGTTTCTATTTATATCAGAAATTGATAGTATATAATCATTTTCCTGTAAAGGGACAATGAAAGAAAATATGACAAAAATAATAGTAGAAAAATATAGATTTATGTTAGAAATTTCCTAAATACTATATTTTTATTCTGAATTTTATGATTATGGTATGTATTTAAATTTATTTTCTCATTACATATAAATATCTTATTAATTTTATATTGATTTCCTTAAAGCAGCGTTCATCAAAATCATATATACTTGAGGCTTCAATGCATAGAATGAGATAATTCTCATAAAATTAATCAGATTTTCAATGTGTAAATAATATAATTCATAATAAAAATAAGAATACTTACTTAGCAAAATTATCAAAATTCTTTAGCTCAGTAGTAGTATAAATACAAGCTGAAAAACATTCAATATATTGATCAAATTAACCAAAATTATATATATATATATATATATATATATATATATATATATGCTGTTATTTCTCATACATTTTTAGAATAAGTAATAACTGGTATAAAATTTTCTGGAAATAAATATATCCATACATATGAAAAGCCTTAAAGTATTCCTACTCTTCAGTCTACTAATGGTACTTCTGTGAATGTTTCCTGTCTGGGAAAAATACCATATGTTACTCAATTACTTTATAATTACAATAATAAAGGAGACCATAACCATAAATACCCAACATAGGAAAACAGGGAATTCTGTTTTTAAAAATATTAGCTGGAAAATTAAAATGTAAAAGAATGTCTACCAACTTATGAAACTTCTGATTTTCTCAAGTTAAATGATAACATCAAGACTTAGAGGGTATGATCATAACACTTTATAAGACAAAATTCATACCTTAAAAATGAAATATAAATATAAATATGAATAGTGTTTGTCTCTGGTTAATCATGTTCTTGCTTCATTGTCCTCCTTCCTCTTGTCTTCCCAGTCTCCTTCCTCCTATTCTTTCCTTTCTCTTTCTTCCTTACATTTCTCTTCTCTCCCTCCTCCCTCTCTATCATTTGTTCTGTTGTTCAGAATTTTTGAAATTTTCTGTAGTAAAATAGCACTATATTATTCACTTTAGTTCTTAGTATTTTAAAGCCTGGGACATATTCTGTAATGAGAATGCATGCACAAATCACAGGAAACTGTAGCAATGCTCTCAGTATATGGAAAAACATGGTAGACTAGAGCTTTCAATCCACCTCTATTTCTAATTAGTTGTATCACTTTGGACAAGTTATTTAAACTCAGAGATTTCTGTTTTATCCTCTGCAAGGAGCCATAAAACATCGTGTTTTTTAAAGCTCAAATCAAATAATGCATAAAAAATTTAAAGAGAAAAAATGTAAATTTCTGCACTTTCTTTACTTACTTTGTGGCTTGATAAAGCCTTTCTTTGAAAAAGCAATCTAAATATTAGAAAACACTGAAGAACAAAAAAGACAAGATACAAAGAAAGAATACTTGTAAGATATATTTTGAAATAAAGAGGATACCTCTCAAGTAAGAGTTGCCAGAGAAGAGGGCAACCTTTTCCAAGGGAAATCAAGTTTAATAGATGCATTCTCCTTGCTAACCACAAAGAACTTCTTGTGAAAGAGGCAGAGAGAAAGCTACGCCCTCTAGTTTCCCCATCATATGTTTGGTGTCCCCATCACATGTTTGGTATCCCCAGCTGCGGCCACCGCTAACAGCAAGACCTGAGATTATCACCCAATACCAGGACACGGGGCACACAGAATGTAGTGCTGAGGGTAAGAGTTTTATTCCATCTTTGGCATCCAGATTCTAGTCACTTGACACTTCCCCAAAGACGTCAGCAGAGCATCTGCTCTGTGACAGCATGGGCAGCTTGACATTTCTTCTGAGGAATGAACTATCAGGGCTCTTGGAAGGCATGACAGAGCCCAGCAGGAAGCCTCACAGTTTTGGGCTCCTTCACAAACTGCCTCCCAAATGTCATGGATACTGTTACATTTATATTTTTTTCTCTTTATAATTAACTGAAGGGGTAAACCACAGCCTGTATCTGATGCCAAAACTGTTCAAGGCATGGTTCCTAGGATTCCACATTTACCGTGAGCAAAGGATGAGTGAAAACTTTCTTTACTAAGTATGTACATTTGGTGCAGACCTCAAGAGTGGACATGGTCCAGACAGAGTTGATTATCTGTTTTAATCACATTTTTTCACTACCCAGAAAGGTTTAAATGCCCCTGACAAACATTTAAAACCATGCATCAATGTAGAATTGAAAAATAAAATTATGAAATAATGAAAAATAAATCTGCCTTTGACTTTGGATTTCCAGGATTCACTGCAAAGTTAACTAGTACCACCAGGTTTTTATATATTTTTTAATCAGCACGTACAGATTTATAGCATTCTTTTCTTAATGAATGCTTCATATTTCATTTCTTGAAGATAATTTTTTAAAAAAATTCTATATTGCTTGGTATTTATGTTATATCTAATACTATATTGATAAAGCTGCTACAATGAATATCCTCAAATATTCATAGAAAGGCAGTTAAATTTGATTAAGAGCCTGGAGTGTGAAGTCAGACTAGGACCAAATTTCAGCCAAAAAAAAAACAAAACCTAATTTTAATCTTGGGCAAGTTGCTTTACCTATATTTGTTGTATTTATATCACAAATGAAATGGGATAATAAAAGGGCTGGCTTCATAGGGTTTGGGGAGGATAAACTGCTTTTATGGTTATACGCACATGCAGAATAGCTAGGCCAATACAGATAGGGATTATGAAAGGTATCCCATATTTCCATTCCCACCAATAGAATATAAAAGAGTTGGTTTTCATTCACCCTCAGTAACAGATTATGCTAACATGTAAGCAACCTTTGCTGTTCTGATAGAATGAAAATTGCATCGTTTTAAATTTTATTAATTATGAGAAACAAATGTATTAATATGTTCATATACCATTTTTATTGATTCTCCAGTGAACTCTCTACATTTATTTCCCTTTACAAATTTTCCTTTTGTGTTGCTGATAATTTTCATGCTGATTCATAGAAGTGTTCTATAGCTTAATGAACTTAACTTCTGGTCAATAATATACAATACCAGGAAAGTATATTTCCCTCAGATAGTTGATTATATGTTAACTTTTGTTCTCACATTTGTATCAGGTTAAGACCTTTAAAAATTATCTATTTAATAATATCAAATCAGATTTGTTGATATTTTTATGACTTCTGGGTTTTTCATCTTTAATAAGGCCTTTCACCCACCTGTAGTAGAATGGAACAGAGGGCCTAAGGGGAAAATCACCTGTGTGAACATTCAATTTGTTTTTAGAGATGCTTCTAAAGATCAGTGGAAAAAGAACTATTTTTCCAGGGAGATGATTGGATCTCCATATGAAAAAAAGTGATGTTTAGCCACTTTGTCACAGCACACACAAAATCAAATCCTGCCAGATTAAATATTTGTGTGTTAAAGTCAAACCTTTCAAAAGATTATAAAGGATAATATCCTCATGATATTTGGGGTAGGAAAAAAATTAAGGGAAACCGAAAACCAATAACCATCCAAGAAAGATGGATACATTTTACTACCAAAAATAAGAACTTATCTTCATTGAAAGATAGAATTAAGAAAACAAAAAATCAAGCCACTGAGTAGGGGATGGTAATTAGTACTCATGTAACCGGAAAAGTTTTATATTCAGATTATACAAAAATGGCTTTATATCAATAAAAGCAAAGCTATTCAAATGTAGGTGAGAAGTTTTAACAGGAACTCTCCAAAAGAAGATATCCAAATGGCTAATATGAAAATGTGTGAAGCCTCGTTAGTAATCAAAGAAATGCAAATTAAATCAAAATAAAATGTCACTGCATATCTACCACAAAAGACTGACAATACCAAATGTGGTGAGAATGTGGAACACATTGCTGGTAGAAATGTACCACATTGACAAACTGGCATTATCAAGTGAAAAATGATGGTAGCTCGAACCAGAGTGGGCAGTGGGGGCGGTCAAAGGCAGTCAAATTCTGCATGCATTTTAAGAGGACAGGCAATCGTTTTGCTGTTGTAGTACCTGTGGTGAGGGAGCAAAACAGTAGAGTCAAGAATAATTCCATTCTATCTGATCTGAATTAATAGATAGATGAGGTTGTCGTCAATTTGTGCAGGAAAGGCTGCAGAAAAACCTTGATTTTTCACGCAGGAGAGGATGGTTCAGTAGGTCAGTTTTTTGCCATGTTAATCTGAAATGCCAGCTTTAAATCCAAGTGATGTCAGGTAGGCAGGCGTGTATATGAGTCTGGCATTCAGAGAAAAGGTCTAGGCTGGGAAAATATCCTTGGAAGTCCTCAGTGAAGAGAAAGTATTCAAATTATGTAACTGGAAGGCAATGAACACAGATAATGAAGAGAGTATATCAAAAGACTGATCATTGGCATTAGAATGTTTGTGGAAGAACCATCCAAGGAGGTTGAGGAGTGGCAGGGAGTTAGGAGGGAAAGCAGGAGATTGTGGTGACCTGAAAACCAAGTAGAAAAAAAAAATGTTTTTATAAGCAGACAGTAAGTAACTGTTACATGCTGTTGATAGGCCTAGCAAGCGGAGACATGAGAATTAATTATTGGATTTAACCAGGTGGAGGTCATTGGTGACCTTGAAATGAGCATTTTCAGGAGCCTGGTGAAATTGAAATTCTGAATGAAGTGAGTTCAGCATAGGCTAAGAGTGGAGAAATCAGTAGTAGTGAATATAGACAACACCATAGAACAGTTTTGCTCCAAGGGAAAGGAAAGCGAAGAGCAATAGCAAGAGAGGGAAGTAGGGTACAGAGACCAGATTAAGTGTGCACTCATAGTAGAGCTCTAGCAGAGAGATAAATGTTAATGATACAAAAGATGACTGATACAATTATTGGCACAATATACTATACTGAGGAAGAGGAGATGAAATCTCATGTGCAAACTGACAAACCTCTGTTAGCAGAAGTAATGCATTTATGATAACAGGAGAGAAGACGATCATTGGGCACACGGCTGTGTAGACAGGTGTCAGATGTAAAGATAGAAGTTCATGAAATGTTTTTTCTAATCAGTTCTATTTTGTCACTAAAATAGGAAGGCCACCCCCTGTACAAAGAAAAAGAGGAGAAGGGTATGGAGATTTTAGGAGAGAGAAAATGATATGGAAATAATCTTCCAGAAGAATGGGGGAATTAATGGGCATGGGAGTTGTTACAAGAGGGCCAGGAAGCTTTAAAATACAAATTCGCATAGATTTTTATGTAAGTATTCTAGGTAATGTAACTTTTAAAATCAGAAAACAGTACCTTTCTGATGCTAATAAAATTTATCATGTTGTGAGAATTCTTGAGGAAGCAAATAAATACGTTCATTGTCTTTAGCATGCTTATAACACTCTGCCTCCTCTAAGATGGTTTCCTTGGAAAGCCAAATAATTATTTTCATTGTTTCATTATTGATAAAAATAGATTTGATTCGTCCTTTAGATATTTACTCATAACATACATATTCAACTACACAAAGAAATGTCATGTTATGGTCGGGCGCGGTGGCTCACGCCTGTAATCCCAGCACTTTGGGAGGCCGAGACAGGCAGATCACCTGAGGTCAGGAGTTCGAGACCAGCCTGGACAACATGGTGAAACCCCATCTGTACTAAAAATACAAAAATTAGTGAGGTGTGATGGTAGGCGCCTGTAATCCCAGCTACTCAGGAGGCTGAGGCAGGAGAATCGCTTGAATCCAGGAGGCAGAGGTGGCAGTGAGCCGAGATCGTGCCATTGCACTTCAGCCTGAGGGACAAGAGCGAAACTTTGTCTAAAAAAAGAGACATTATGGTACATATATTTCATTTTAAAGAAAATTATATTCATGTTGCTTCAAACCAAATTATCTTTCCATTGCTTATTTCCTATCTGTCCTCTGGATTTCAGTGGCAAAGAGGGCAAGAAGACTGTCTTCAGCACCATTCAGCCTTCAGGCCCTTATGGTCAGGGCACATGCTAAGATACCAAAAAGCATATGTTGAATATATAAATTAATGAAATTAAGACAGTAAATCTGAATATACTGTATGAATAAATACCTGAGGAGGGAAAAGTATCCTATATATTTTCCATTTCTATATCCTACTCTGCTTTGTCAAAAGTGGAGACTTAATAAAATTTGGATAAACTTGATTAACCTATTCAAAATAATTTGACTATAAGATATATGTAGCATTAGATTATCATGGGAATACAATATAATGGAACTCACAGATAATTTTACTAGATATTATTTTAAAAGATTAAGAGAAGTTTTCAGCTCACTGAATTTCAGTCTTCAGCAAATAAAGAAAATGTCATTAATTATTAATAAAAGCCTTTTCATTTATTAATCTGTGAATTGTATGTGCAGAGATGAATCATTTGTTAATAACAAAATGTGAATATAAAAGATAACACACCCAACCATCAAGTTTGCTGAAGAAAGTAAAGTTCTTACCTCTTCTGGGAATACATTTCTTTATGAAAAATGAATATGTTGAGGATGGAGAAATTGGACATGGATGAGGAAGTTATGACATTGACACATATTCTCTATAAATACTGAGATTTAGTCTGTTCATCATTCAATAAATATTTGTTAAAACTTGAGTTACAGAATCTCGTATCAGTGATCAATAGAACATAATGTGAGAAACATGATAAATTAAATGATTGATTGTTCATATTTTCATGGCTCACACATCTACTGATACTGAAAAAAGTGGTTTATTTATTTAGGATCATTAATTACAAACTTCAGAACCATTTAGGGATAAAAAAAACTTGCAAGTTAATCTTCTGCTGTCAGTTTTTGAATAAATTACTAAAGAAAACTGGTAAACTGGTTAGCTGTGGAATTAAATTTCAAGTTACTCATATCGACTTTAATGTGAGAGTTTACTTATTCATTTAATAAAACAAGCTGTTGTAGAAAATTATTTATCTATTAAATATAAGCAGGTGTATTATTTTAAAATTCAAAACATCTAAATATGTATGGTTTTTATTGAATTAAATAAAGTAGATATATTTTGCATTATCAAAAGTCATACTTAAATATAACTGTAATTGGTTAAGTGCTATGTAAAAATTTGTTAACATAACTAATTCTATCATACTGATTACTTAATAACTAAAAATTTTGCAAATATAGTTTACTTTGTTTTGGTGCTAATCTAGATAATATTTTGAAGTAAACATACAGTTCTCTGTAGATGGTACCTCTCCCTGATAGGGTGAAAAGACAGCTGGTAAATATATTAAAATAATTTTCTCTGAAAACAATGATGGTTTCAATAGGTTATTGCTACTCATTGATTATGACTAGAATCTCTTTAAAGAATTACTTTTGATGGCAACCTCACCTCACCTGACTGTCCCATGTGGGATGTGCAAGTTAGGGGACATTCACCTTCTTTTTAGTCTATTTTCCATAAGTGGGGCTTTGCAAGGATAGATTATATTTCCAAGCTCTCCAAAAGCTTTCAGTTAAGTAGAATGTTTAAAATTATTCAGCTGTATATTTAATATGTCCACCATTACACTCAGCACTTCTAAAAGGATATTGTCTTGCTCACAATTTGTTGGACCATTTTATGTATTTTTGAATGCCTGCTCTGACATTGAGCTGTCATCTATTTCTGTTTGAATTAGCTCTTGGTTTTAGGTCTTGCCTTTAAGTCTATGGAATCAGTAGCACAGTTTCATACCTATGTCATAGAGCCTACACCATTTTCCCGTAATACCATCACTTTGTTAAGTAGAGTTTATCATATTGCTCCAACATAGGCAGAGATGCTCTATAAAGACAACTTAACCTTTCTGTTACTTCTTACTGTTGACAATTCCCCCAAAATGAACTCATTCCGAGAATCACCATATCACCCCAACCCTCATGAGAAAAAGCCTACTTTCTCTGTGCTCTGTGCACAGTCAAAAGCAATGAAATGCATGTGTGCTCTGCAGTCAGCCTGTGTCTCAAAGTAAGAGAGAAAGGAGGGTTGGCTACCTGAATTCAGGTCCTCTCTCAAACTCACTAATATGAGAACTTAATCCACCTCTATATGGGAATAGTAAAGGGCAAGATTTGGTGTAATCATAAGGCCTTAAACCACATAAGAAAACACTAATTTGAGAAGAAGTATTTTCCTCCAAATATTCCATGTCTTTCCATCTCTTAATTCACTGGGTTTGGCCATTAAGCTTATAGTCAACCAAAGATGTGGTTACTCTGAAGGAAATTGGCATTTATGCTCTGCTCTGATGAAACCACTTGCCCCATAATAAAATTATCCCCCTTGATTATCTTCCTAAAATACTACTGGAGAATATAGATCTTGCCCCTACAAACCTAAAATAGATTAGAACAGTACATTAATCACATCTATAATAGATCCATACTGTATCCAAGGCTGGAAGTGTTCCTATTTCCCATTCCAAAATATTTTAAGCAACTTTGTCCAAAGCAGTCTGTCAGAGATTCTGTAATGAAATCAAATGACAACATCAAGATTTATGCAAATGCCAATAAAGATATCACCCAATTTAAATACAAATCGTTTTATCAGATTTTCCAAAATAAAATTGTGTCAAAGCCTGAGAAAATTAACAAAAATATTTTATTTTCAAGTCAATCTTAGAAAATGTTAACTCTGTTATCATTTCTTATATTATTATATTTATTCCTGAAAATATGAAGTTAGACATTTTGGTGTTCCTTTAAAGGGAGAAAAGACAAAGGAGAGGGAAGAAATGGAAAAGGAGGGAATGAGGAAGGCAGAAGAAAAAAGAGGAGGAGGAGAAGGAAAAGGAAACAGGAGGAGGAGGAATAGGGAGAAGAAGAGAAGAATAAGAGAAAGAAAAGGAAGATGGGCATGCCCATCTCATTCTCCAGAACGGTTGATGTAATCACACTAACTGAGGACACAGCATCAACATTTACTTTTTTCAGTTGCCCATACTCTGGCCCTAGCAAAGTTCCAGAATGGAAATAATGGGCTACCCTATCTTCGGTCCTGCAATTCCTCAGAGCATTCAAGTGCCTGATTTTCTATTATCAAGTTTTCTTTCTCCAGTCTGTGTCCACAACATTTCTACTGATGCTGCATTCTCCTGACAGTGGGGTGTTTATATCGATGACAGGCAATTCTACAGGCAAAATACATTGATTCATAATTTGGACAACTTCAGTTATTTGCTCTCCAAATAGTGCTTGACCTCATTCAGTCATATTTGGGTGTCTTCAATTTCCTGATATCCCTAAACATCTATCAACCTAATTCTGCCTGTTCTTCCAACTTGGATGTTGCCCTCCCACTATTCCTTAAGGCTCCTCTTGATTTATAAACGTGTCATTGTTTAGATGGTTGAGAAAGCAGCTATGTTTAATTTTCTCTGTTGAATGTTCTTTTATGTTTTTCTTTATAATATACATCTCAGACTCTACTGGGGTCCTCTATAGCAAGAAATGTGTTGCTTTCATTTCTGTTTCTGTCAAAATATTTCTGCCTTGTTATCCCGAGCAGTGTAATTCCATCTAAGAGTTATTCCTCTCTCAATCCAAAATGTAGCTCCAGCCCAGGTTCAACTTGTTGAAATCTGATAGTCTCCCCCTAGTTCATATCATTTATCTTTTATCTTGCCTCATACTTGTAATTTCATAAAATTACCATAGCATATTGCCTGATAAAACACTTCATACCTGTGTCTCTATTCACAATGATCAATTTACTTTGAAACTCACTCAACAATAATTTGAGGATTTTACACTGTTACTCCTGGTCTTTTCCTATTGCATTTGTTAAAATAGTATAGAATCTGTTGTTATAATTATCACAATATTCAAGAAGGCAGTTTTCCACTAGCACTTAACGTGTACTTTATCTGTTGCTTTGAAATGGCATTTTAAAGTAATTTTCTGATTCTTAGATCTATCTGTGGAAATCATTTCAGCTTGATCACTGTCATCTTTATTGTATTATTCTGTGAGGTTTTCTTAAGCCCCAATCACTTTTGCTGACCCTGTTATCAAGAAAAAAATTTTCCCCTTGTTCAGAAAAAACCTTAAAAGTAGTTAAGTTTTGGTATATAGTGTCCTCAGTATATTTTTATATCCTTTTCATTTGAATTATGGCCTTTAAAACCTTGTCTTTGAAATATATATGTTTATATAATTTCTATAAGTATATGTTTATATATGTATTATACATTTATATATGCATATATTTATGTAAATATATATATTTATATATAAAGAGAATATACATTATAGGGAATATATGTATTATATATGTGTATTATATACATTTATATGTATATACACTTATATGCATATATACATTTATATATTAGAGAAAATATATAAATATATATATTCTTTTAACTTATTTTCCTAAATTGTCCTCATTTTCAAAGATAGACGTTTCTTAAAACACCATCTCATATTCATCGGAAACCTTCTTCAATTTCTCTGCTACTTTCCTATGCCCTAAGACTGTCCCTGTGCCAGGCTAATAGTCCCAAGATTAACTCACCCAGGTGTAAACTTTCTTGAAGAATAACATTTAAAGAGGTGGTTAAAATGTTTATGATCAGCTCTCTTCTACCTTTATCCAAGTGAAGGTTATATATCCAAACCTCATAGGAGGCTCCATTTTTATTTTATTCAATTACAAAATGTATTGAATTACTGTGACTAGGGCTGCTATTTGGATCTTCAATATTCACAAGCATAATCAACTGATAAGGAATACAACCTAAGGGGTATGTTAATATAAAAATAAAAAATCAAAACATGTAATTTCCTAATTGATCTTACCTCGCCCTGGTGAAGGATGGTAAGTAAAATCTCAGAGATTTGTAAAAAAACTCTTAGTGACCTACATACCTGGCTGAAAATTAAAAGTTTCGTAAGTACACAGAAATTACTCTAAACAAATATTAAAGAAAGCCATGAAGATAAGACACCATGT
This sequence comes from Homo sapiens, assembly GCF_000001405.40. NCBI lineage: Eukaryota > Metazoa > Chordata > Mammalia > Primates > Hominidae > Homo > Homo sapiens. Next base: position 22,143,773 of record NC_000002.12, read on the forward strand.
GCCCTGGATTCTTCAGTATTTGTCCACTTGCAACATTATGCTTCACAATTCTTCTCAAGGTTTACTACCCATATGTAAGGACATGAGGACACACTACTGAAACTGCCAGCCTTATCAGTGGAGGGAGAGGGGTCTATCCCAATCAACCTTATGACATAGAGTAGAGTATCTGCCAACTTCCAGGAGAAAGGAAAGAGAAAGGAGGTGGATCTTACATGCTTGTTATTGTCTTTCAAAACTCACTAATAAGGTAAGCTCTCCTTCCCCTCCTGGGAGGAGGTAACAGAGGGGCAAGTGAATGGCCAGGAGTGTTATGCTAGTGAGGATTCTGCTATACAGATGGAAATAACAGGATGGGCACAGGAACAGTGGGTAGGGAACTGCTCTGCTTTTAAAACTTGTAAACACACTAAGTTATGTTCTTCAAGAAAAGGCTTTTGGCCAATGGAAGGAATTTACACATTAAGCTCCATTGTGTCTTCAAACTCCTTGTATCAAAGAAAATGCATTTGGGCCTACTACTAACAAAAATATAAGAGAAGGAAATTCAATTATAATGAGAGGACCTGTGGCCATTGGATCCTGCTGTCTTGTTAGTGTGACCCAGAGCAAGGTCTTCTTATCTGTGTAGATTCTGTTCTGAATGTTTATGATCCATTAAGAGATAAACTTTCATGTTACCTGCTGGAGCCACCTATAGATCTCTGCTGCTCCGGAGGCTGTCCATAGTGGTGAATATAGATACAAACTTTCTTTAATCCACTCTATACTGCTCATTGTTGGGTAATATCTGTATTGGTAGGCAAGCAAGCAAAAAAGCAACTACACCGAATATATGGACATTGTTGATTTTTTATTTTGTTTCTGGGTAGGAAGTATGGTATGAGATTTATATAAACTGAACTTAATAGCAACTTCTTTTATTTTGACTAGCTGGTATGCTATGTCACTTCTGAGATTCCAGCAGCTCCTATTGAGTTTCAGAAATAAAAGGTAGGGGCCAAAAGAAAGATAATTACAGAGAGATTCTCTCTCTTATGGTTAAGAACTAGAATAGCAGCTCATCACACTGTAGGGATAGGGTAGCCTTAATTGTAAATGTAAATAAAGTCCACTATATTATGGAAGAGAAAGTTGGCATTTTTTTCATATGATAAATTATTTGTGGAAGAAATGCATTGCCATGGTCTGTGTGGTTATTATCACAGGATAGGAAGCTTAGTGTCAGTGCCTTGAGAGTCATCATCAGCCGGTTTTGGTGTCTGAGGTTTTCCAGAATGTGTGCCTTAGACATAAATACCAGATGTGGGGCTTGTCACTTCAGCATCCACACCCAAGAACTGATCTCTAGACCACATTTAGAAAGGTAAAATTTGTGGTCTTGGAGAAGATAACTTTGAGATGTTATCTTCTCAGATACGTTCATGTGGTTTTTTATAACTTTTTAAAATTTTTATATATTTAGGGGGTACAAGTGCAAATTTCTTTTCTTTTCTTTCTCCCCCAACCCCGCCCAAGACAGAATCTTGCTCTGTTACCCAGGCTGGAGTGCAGTGGTGCGATCTTGCCTCACTGCAACTTCCACCTCCCGGGTTCAAGTGATTCTCCTGTCCTAGCCTCCCGAGTAGCTGGGATTACAGGCATGAGCCACCTCACTCGGCTATTTTGTTTTTTTTTTGTATTTTTAGTAGAGATGGGGTTTCACCATGTTGACCAGGCTGGTCTCAAACTCCTGACCTTGTTGAGATGGAGTTTCACTCAAAAAGAGTGTGCCATCACACCCGGCCAATTTTGCATTTTCAGTAGAGACGGGGTTTCACCATGTTGGTCAGGTTGGTCTTGAACTCCTGACCTCATGTGATCCACCCACCTCGGTCTCCCAAAGTGCTGGGCTTACAGGCATGAGCCACCATGCCCAGCCCAAGTATGAATTTCTTATATGCATATACCATATAGTGATGAAGTCTTGGTTTCTAGTGTACACATCACTCAAATAGCAAAGAGTATAGCCAATAGATATTTTTTTCAACTCCCTTTCAAGTCCTTTCCCACCTCCCAGCTTTTGGAGTCTCCAGTGTCTATTAGTCCACTCTATATATCCATGTGTACCCAGTGCTTAGTTCCTATTTATAAGCAAGAACATGACATATTTGACTTTGAAATATTCCACTTAGGAGAATGGTGTCCAGTTTCATCCATGTGGATGCAAAGACATTATTTCATTCTTTTTATGGCTGAGTAGTATTCCATAATACATATGGGACACATTTTCTTTATCCAGTCTTTTATTGATGGACACTTATGTTGCTTCCATATCTTTGGTATTGTAAATAGTGGTGTGATAACCATACTAGCACAGGCATATTTTTGATCTAATGTTTGTTTCCTTTTGAGTATATATATCCAGTAGTGGGACTGAGGGATTGAATGGTTCCATTTTTAGTTCTTTGAGAAATCTTCAAACTGTTTTCCACAAAGGTTGTACTAATTCACATTCCCATTAACAGTGGATAAGAACTCCCTTTTCTTTGCATCTTTGCCAACGTCTGTTGTTTTCTTCTTAATAATAGCTATTTTGACTGGTATAAGATGGTATCTCATTTTGGTTTTAATTTTCACTTCTCTGATGATTAGTGATATTGAGCATTTTTTCATATGTTTGTGGGCTGCTAGTACGTCCTCTTTTGAAAAATGCCCGTTCATGTTCTTTGCCCATTTTGTAATGGGATTATTAGTTTTTTTTCTTGCTGAGCTGTTTGGGTTCCTTGTAAATTCTGGGTATTATCCCTTTGTGGAATGCATTGTTTGCAAATATTTTTCCATTCTGTGAGTTGTCTGTTTACTTTGTTGATTGTTACTTCTTTTGTGGATAATATTTTAATTAATTCCCATTTGCCTTTTTTTATTTTTATTGCATTAGGTTTTGAGGACTGTCATAAATTGTGTGCCTAGGCCAATGTCCAAAAGATTTTTTCCTGGGTTTTCTTCTAGAATTTATGTACTTTCAGGTTTTATGTTTAGGTCTTTAATACATCCTGAACTAATTTTTTTAATATGGTGAGATATATGGGCTCAGACTTATATCAGTTGGTTTTAGGTATGTGGCTTTTATTCTGGGTTTATTCTGTTTCATTGATCTATGTATCTATTTTCATAATAGTACCATGCTGTTTTAGTTACTATAGCCTTGTAATATAATTTGAAGTCAGATAATGTGATGCCTCCAGCTTTGATCTTTGTACTTATGATTGATTTGGATATTTGGGCTCTTTTTTGATTCCATATAAATTCTATGATTCTTAAAATAATTCTGTGAAAAATAACAATGGTAATTTGACCAGGATTGTGTTGAATCTGTGGATTGCTTTGCAAAGTATGGTCTTTTTAACCATACTTGTACATTATGGTACATGACCATGGGATGTTCTCCAATTTGTTTGTATCATCTATGATTTATTGTATCATTGCGTTGTAGTTCCCTTTATAAAGATCTTGACCTCCTTGGTTAAATATATTCCTAGGTACTTTACTTTGTAGCTACTCTAAATGGCATTACTGTCTTGATTTGGTCCTTAAGTAGATCATTACTGGTATATAGAGGTGTTACTGATTTCTGTATGTTAATATTTGATCCTGAAACTTTACTGAATTCATTCATCAAATCTAAGAGTTTTTTGGTGGAGTCTTTAAAAGGTTTATAGATATAAGATCATATCCTCAGTGAACAGGGATACTTTAATTCCTCTTTTCCAATTTGGATGCCTTTTATTTTCTTTCTCTTGACTGATTGCTGGGTGAAGTTTTCTGGTACTATGTAGAATAAGAACGGTAAAAGTGGGCATGCTTGTCTTGTCCCAGTTCTTAGTGGAATTGATTTCAGCTTTTCCTCATTAAGTATGATGTTGGCTGTGGGTTTGTGGTATATTGTCTTTATTATGTTGAAGTATGTTTCTTCTATGCCTAGTTTCTTAAGGGTACAATTTTTATCAAATGCTTTTTCTATGTCTATTGAGATAATCATATGGTTTTTGTCCTTAATTCTATTTATGTGATGTATCACATTTATTAATTCAAATATGTCTTGCATCCCTGGAATAAATTCCAGCTCATCACAGTGTATTATCTTCTTTATGTGCTGTTGGATTTGATTTGTTAGTATTTTATTGAGGATTTCTGCATCTATGTTCATCAGGAATACTGGTCTGTAGTTTTCATTTTTGTTGTATCTTTATCTGGTTTTGGTATCAAGTTGTACTGGTCTTACAAAATAGGGTAGGAATAATTTCCTCCCCTTGAATTTTGGAATAGTTTCAGGAGGATTAGTAACAGCTCTTCTTTGTATGTATGGCAGAATTTGGTCCTGGACTGTTTTATTAGGAGATTGTTTTTTAATTACTGATTCATTATTGAATTAGTAATACTGCTCTTTATTGGTCTGTTCAGGACTTTTATGTATTTCTGGTCCTATCGCATGAGGTTGTATGTTTCCAGAAATTTCTTCATTTCCTCTAGGTTTTCTAGTTTGTGAGCATATGGTTGTAATAGGCTCTGATGATGTTTTATATTTCTGTAGAATCAGTTGTAATGTCACCTTTTTCATTTCTGATTATGTTTTTTTTTAATAATCTCTCTTCTTGTTTACTCTAGCTAATGGTTTAACAATATCATTCATCTTTTGAAAAACCAACTTTTTGTTTCATTGATCCTTATTGTTTTTTGTTTGTATTTTATTTAGCTCTGCTCTAATCTTTGTTACCTCTTTTCTTTTGCTAACTCTAGATTTGGTTTGTTCTTGTTTTCCTAGTTCCTTGAGACGTGATGTTAGGTTGTTAATTTGTGATATTTCTACTTTTTTAATATAAGCATTTATTGCTAAACCCTTTCCTCTCAGCACTGCTTTTGTTATATCCCACAGGTTTTGGTATGTTGTGTTTTCATTTTTGTTAGTTGCAATTAAAAAACATTCATCTTGTTGATTCAGTGATCATGAAAGAGCACCCTGTTTAATTCTATATATTTGTATATTTTCTAAAATTCCTCTTGGTATTAATTTCTAGCTTTATTCCATTGTGATCTGAGAAGATACTTGATATGATTTTGATTTTTAAAAATTTGTTGAGACTTGTTTTGGGGCCTAGCGTGTGATCTATTTTGGAGAATGTTCCATATGCCAATGAAAATAAGTTATATGGTGGTGTTGTGTAGTGGAATGTTCATTAATGTTGGTTAAATCCATTTGGTCTAAAGTCCAATTTAACTACAATGTTTCTTTGTCAATTTTCTATCCTGATGATCTGGCTAGTGCTGTGAGTGGGGTATTGAACTCTCCCACTATTATTATCTCTTTCTTTAGATCAAGTTTGTGTGTGAATTTTGGTACTCTGATGTTGGGTGCATTTATATTTAGGATTGTTACATCTTCTTGCTGCACTGAACCCTTTATCATTATAGATATCATTATCTTTGTCTTTTATTACCTTTTTTGATTTAAGTCTATTTTATCTAAGTATGGCTACTGCTGACTTTTCGTTTCCATTTGTATGAAATATCTTTTTCCACTCCTTTATTTCCAGTTTGTGTGTGTCTTTATGGGAAATGTGAGTTTCTTGTAGGCAGCATATAGTTGGTTTATGTTTTTATTTAAATTCATTCTGCCAAACTGTATCATTTAAGTAGAGCATTTTATTCATTTACATTCAATATTAATATTGATATGTGAGGCTTTGTTCCCATAATATTAATTGTTTTCACATTGTTTTATTCATTTTGTTTCTTTTATTTCCCTGTCTTTTGTCCTTGTGGTTTGATGAAATTCTGTCATGTTGCCATTTGATTTTTCTTTCTCCTTTGTGTGATTGTTTTACAAGAACTATGAAACTTATATTTCCATGTGTTTTCATGATAATGAATATTGACCTTTCATTTCCATGTTTAAGGGCCCTTTGAGCATTTCCTGTGGAATTGGTCTTGTGGTGAAAAATTCTCTCAGTGTTTGCTTGTTTGAAAAAAACTTTATTTCTTCATTTGTGAAGCTTATTCTGACAAGACATAAAATTCTTGAGTAACAGGTTTGTTTTTTCTTTTACTTTTAGCACTTTCAAAATGCAGTCTCATTCTCTTCTGGCCTATAAAGTTTCTGCTGAAAAGTTTGTTGCTGGTCTGATGTAGTTTCCTTTATGGGTAGGTAGATGCTTTTCTCTTACTAATTTTAGAATTATTTTGTTCACTTCTACTTTACACATTCTGAATGTAATGTGCTCTGGTGAAATCCTTTTTGCAATCTATTTGCCTAAGATTGCTGGACTTCCTGTATCTACATGTCTATCTTTCTAGATGAGGGAAGTTTTCATCAAATGTTTTCTTAAATAGGTTTTCTCAACTTTTTGATCTCTCCTTTTGTCTTGGAAATACCAATAATTCCTATGTTTGGTAACTTTATGTAGTGTCAGAAATCTCAAAGAATTTGTTTTTTTGTTATTATTTTTTCCCTATTTTTGTCTGTATTATTTTAAAAGACCTCTCTTCAAATTCTGAGATTCTTTTTTCTACTTGGTCTAGTCTATTACTGAAGCTTTTGAATGTATTTTATATTTTCTAAAATGAGTTTTTAGATAAAGAATTTCTGTATGTTTTCCTTATATGAAGATACCTATCTCCTCGGTAAATTTCTTATTCATATGCTGAACTGATTTTCTGATTTCTTTGTATTGGTTATTATATTTCTTTTACATCAAATTGAGCTTTTTCAAATCAGTATTTTGAATTATTTGACATTTTAAGGAACTCTTTTTGATTAGAATCTGTTGCTGGACGATTGTTGTGGTCCTTTGGTTGTGTCACATCTCCCTGCTTTTTCATATTTCCTGTGTCTTTCCATTGATATATGTGCATCTGGTGTAGCATTCACATGTTCCAATTTTTTTTTTTTTTTTGAGACAGAGTCTCTCTCTTTCACCCAGGCTAGAGTGCAGTGGCCCCATTTCAGCTCACTGCAAGCTCCGCCTCCTGGCTTCATGCCATTCTCCTGCCTCAGCCTCCTGAGTAGCTGGGACCACAGGCACCCACCACCACGCCCGGCTAAATTTTTGTATTTTTAGTAGAGAAGGGGTTTCACAGTGTTAATCAAGATGCTTTCAATCTCCTGACCTCATGATCTGACCACTTAAGCCTCCCGAAGTGCTGGGATTACAGGCGTGAGCCACCTCGCCTGGCCTGTTCCAATTTTTTGAACTTGTTTTTGTAGGGGAGAATTTTTTTCCTGAGGATGTATATGTCTTATTGATTCAGAAAGATAATCTGGCTTTGATTTTGGGTGCCCATGGTAGTGTGATCTTTATATGACTTCTTTGGCAGCACACAGGGTCAATGGTATGTATGATTTCCTTGGTGGCATAGGGCACAGTTATTACTTTAAGTTGTGGTTAAGTTTTGTTGGGGACTGGGACACCACTTGAGCCAGTCTTTGGGCCCTAGTGGTGACAGCAGTGGGGTAAATGTACCTGGTGTCTGTCTGGAGAAACTTAGACTGGTTTCCGTGTTAGTGGTTCCTGGAGGGCTGATTCTGGTGCTTCCGGGTGGCTTTCTTAGAAGCTAGTAGTGGGACCAGTGGGAGCAGTGGGCCACACTGCTTTTACGGGAGAGTTTTCAGGCCTCTGGTCAGCTGGTGTGGTGCAGGTGATGGCAGTAGCAGTAGTGGAGCAACCCACGGGGACCCAAGCAGTACATGGTAGTGTTCCTGATAGCTGTGATGACTGGGGGCAGGCTAATCCCCATTCCCACAACCACCTGTAGCAGGGAAGTAGGTATTGTCCTAAGTGTGCTTAGGAGAGCTTGGTCTCTGCTGTCCTTCCTCCAGCTGTGTGGTTGTGCAGCCATGTCATGTCACCTCAAATTCAGCCCAAGTGCGGAGGCACAGCCAAGCATTAAATACTCAAAATGGTGCCAGATGTGAGCTTGTGACCACAGAGGGTGATCCATCCCTCAGGCCATCAGCATGGCCAAGAAGCTATAGGGAGTGTGGTCTGCCCAAGTCTCGGCCTCACAGCAGCTTGTAGCATGGTGTTGGGTAATTGTTCTAGGTATGTATAGGAGAGCCTGGTTTTATTGTTCTTCCTCAGCCAGGTGGACATGAACTCAGCCTGAGGACAGGGTGCAACCCAGCCCTACTCTCTCAAAATGGCTCCTTGGATCAGAAAGTGGGGAGAGTGGAACCCCTCCCAGACAAGCAGTGTGGGGAGAAAGCTGTGGGGTGTGTGGTCACCCCACATCTCAGTCTCACAGAAGCCCATTGTAGGGCTGTGAGTATTGTCCTAGATGTGTAAGAGAGTCTGGTTATCTGTTCGTCTTTGGCCAGAAGGCAGCTGCAACCAAGTCAGGCTGAACTCAGCCTTAGGGTAAGGCACAGCCTAGCATTAAACTCTCAAAATGGTGCCTTGGGCCTGGGACTGTTGAGGGCTGGGTCCGTTCCAGGTAAGCAGTGTGGAGAAGAAGCTGTGTAGAGTGTGGTCCGCTCACATCTCAGTCTCAACAGCAGCTTACAGCAGGGTGGTAGGGACCCTGCCAGTGGGGCGTGGTTTTTTTCAGTCTCCTCTCTCCCTCTTGTGAGCAGTGTAGCAGCAGCAGCCGTGTCTGTAGATCTCTGGTACCTAGGCTCTCAAAATGGTGCCTGGCTGAGGCTGCTCCAGACTTGAATACCTACTGGATTTTGTGTGAGTTCCCTTTCTGGAGCAACGTCTCTGTGCAATATTTAGGCAACTCTATGTGTCAGGCCCAAGGCTCTAGTGGGTCCATGGTTTCTCCTATAGCCAAGATCATAAATTCCAAGCCCTAGGGGTTTGTCTCTTACTGTTTCCCTCTGTCCAGAAGCCTCTCCTGGCTCTCAGTAAGTTCCCTGTGGGGATTGCTGCCTTGAACCTTTTTCTTACTTCTGGTGTTTCTGTCTCTTCTCTGATGAATCCTAGCATTATCTCCTAGACAATCTATTCAAAATTTGAGTATCTACTTACTTTCCTGGACCCTCTCTGTAGATGAGGCACATACTACCTATGGCTAGTTAGTCATCCTAATTCAAAGAGACTAATATATATATTTGGAGTGAGATAAGATTTGGAAAATCTCATCATCAGCCTTGAAGCCACCTTTGAGTGTCAGAGAATGGTCATTTCCCAGCACGTGATTTCCTAGCACAGACTTACAACTCATGAGTGAAGAGAAAGAAGGGGTAATAACCAATATGAGATTCTTTATATAGAAGTGGAGAAATTAGGAGCAATAAAAATCCTGGATGTTCTTTGTCAAGCATTACAGTAGTTCCCCTTTATTCTTTGGGGATATGTTCCAAGACACCCAGTGAATGCATAAAACCATGGATAGTACTGAACCCTATATATACTAAGATTTGCCCTCTAATACATACCTATGATAAGGTTTAATTTATTATTAGAGATGGAACTCTTGGGCTTTGGGGCAATTATTAAGTAAAACAAGGGTTACTTGAACACAAGCACTGCAGTACCATGACACTTGATCTGATCACCACGATGGCTACTGACTAACAGGCAAGACACATAGACAGCTTGGAGATGCTGGATGAAGGAGGATTCGCATCCTGGGAAGGATGGAGCAGCACTGTGTGAGATTTCAACACACTACTCAGCACAGCGTGTGGTTCAAAACTATTTGATTGTTTATTTCTGGAATTTTCCATTTAATGTATTCAGTCTGCAGTTGACCTCAGCAGAAAACAAAACCACAGATAAGGGGGACTACTGTATTTGACAACAATGCAGAGTCCTTTTATGGATTGACATATAGTAACCTAGAGAAAAACTCTTTAAACTTTTCAGTTTTTAAAAATAGACGTTATACAAAACAACAGATAATAGGATTTCTTTTTCTTTTCCAGTCAAATACTTGGCATCAGAAAAAAGCAGGAAAAATATCTTAAGCATTTTCTATAATTATCTAAAATTATCTAGATTAAACTTGAATATATCTACTGTACCTCATTAAGCACACTGTTCCACTGCCTGCCCTTTCTATCTGAAAATGTTCTCTCATTTTCAAATTGAATTTCTCCTCCATTAACTCACTGCTTAGGTATATTTTAATGGCTTTCCTTTCAACGTGAGCCCACTTGTTTTGGCCGGGAAATTATCTCATTTCATTGTATAAAGCCCAGTTTCATTTCTAATTTTCAGTAATTGTGTCCATTTCTAGGTGAATAATGTATGCCCAAACAAAAGGTCTCTTAAAACTGGCCTGTCATTTTCAATTCTTTCTCTCCCAGACACTGGTTGTTAATTTTCCTTACAATAATGCCTGTCTGTTCTCCCTCTCCAATGTACTGTTATAACTAATACAGTGAAGCACCTGCACCTTGCTGTGTGAGGTCATCTCCTGATACGAAACTGACAGCTTCACATGGCCATGGGCAATGCAGATGTAGTGACTTTCAGGAACCTATCATCCATTTGCCTTCTGAGTAAAAGCCTAAGGAGAAGCACAATCCTGTCCTCAATTTGCCATTAGCTAGAAATTCACAGGCTGAAAGCTTTGTCATAAAGAAACTCTGGGAAAAAGTGCATTTTCTTTTAATCCTCAATATACATATTCCCCTACAGACTGTCTCTTACACATGCACACACTGATAGACATACATATGTATGCATGCTCATTCATACACATACACTCTGAAAAATTACATATATTCAGCTATTATGATACGTTTCATACACACACACACATACACACACACAGCCTTTTAAAACTTATCTGGAAGATGATCTGCCAATATCTTTCAATCTTTGATGTGTGTCAATTTGCCAATGGAGAGGGGGAAATGGTAGATGGCATTCCAAGTAGACAAACAAGCTTGTGGAAAGACATCATGTGCTGAAAGAACCTTGAAATTTTGTAAAACTTGGGAAGGTAAGTACATCTGGAACAGAATACACACACACACACACACACACACACACACACACACACACACAGAGAGAGAGAGAGACTATAGCTGTCATTTGGAGTAAAACTGGAAAGAATCTATTTGCCAACCCTGAGACTCTGGATACCATCCAAACACACTGTATGAATCGAGCATCTGAAATTAATCCAAGTGATACAAAGGGCATAAAATCATTTCAAGTAAAACAAAATTTATTAACCATTTTTATAAATACACATAATGTTAGTTAAGATGCAGTTACTTATATTTTATTCCTTCATGGTCATATAACACACAGCAAAATTTTAAAACATGAAACAAAAACCTGTGCAGCAGTAGGAGAGGAGTAAGGTAATTATTATTATCAGAATGAGGAAACTAAGTGAATTTTCAAGCTCACACAACTCCAATGAATTGATGTCTTCAGACTCAATAGCTTGCATGCTGCTATACCAAACTGGAGACGTTCACTAAGAATTAGCAAAGAGGAAGGTTAGCCTGTATAAATGAATCTCAATGGAAGTGCACCAAACTATTCTTAAGTTCCCATTAGAAGACCAGGCACCAGTGCAAAGGATCACAGGAGTGTGAAATGTTAATATAACATCCAGATTTAGGAAACTATTTTGACAGAAATTATTGCTATTGGATTATTTATAACAAAAAATGGAAATAATATATGTTACTGAATATGAAAGCTAAAGAATTGGAAGGCTGAGGCGGGAAGATCACTTGAGGTTGGGAGTTTGAGACCAGCCTGAACAACATGGAGAAACCCTGTCTCTACTAAAAAAAAAAAATACAAAATTAGCTGGGCATGGTGGTGCATGCCTATATCCCAGTTGCTCAGGAGGCTGAGGCAGGAAAATTGCTTCAACCTGGGAGGCGGAGGTTGTAGTGAGCCAAGGTTGCACCATTTCACTACAGCCTGGGCAGCAAGAGCAAAACTCCATCTCAAAAAAAAAAAAAAAAAAAAAGAAAGCTAAATAATGTGCATTTTATATTTGAATATCATGTGGCCATTAGAAACAATTTTCAATTAAATGGAAAAGGTCTCCTGAATAATGTTAAAACACACACATACACACACACACACACACACACAGAAAATGAAAAAAAACAAAAAGAACAAAAAACTATACACATTATCACATGCAGTATGCTTTCAAGCATAACTATTATTTTCTATTTATCTAGCTCTGTATCATCTCTAGATCTCTGGAACTGACTATACTTTCTACCTATTTATCTATCTGATAAAAATAGGATACCGGAGGAAATACAGCAAGTAGATATTGGGTGTTTTTCTCTTCTTTAATTGTTTTTCTCAGTACATTTTCCAATGTGGCAGAGAAATGTGGTGAGGGAACACATACTCCACCAGTTTCTAGGAGAGATACTTTTGCCTTCTCCATAAAATGCACATAGTTACTTGGTGGCTTGTATTCAGATGACGAGGGAGAAATGTTGGCACAAAAGACTACAACACAACAACAAGTCAATAAATATTTGTCCTGTGCCTATGAGGTTCTTGGCAAGAGAGATGCCCAGTCCTCATGGAGTATAGTGGGGTCTATAAATGATAAATCAATCAACAATGTAAATGTAATAAATGGTATAACAGAATAATACAGAGTATTACTTTGAAAAGTTTTATAGAGGAAGAGATATTAACAATGAAGTCCTAAAGATGTGTAAGAAATATTCCTTTAGAAAGAAAGATCTGGGGGAGGAGCCAAGATGGCCGAATAGGAACAGCTCAGGTCTACAGCTCCCAGTGTGAGCGACGCAGAAGACGGGTGATTTCTGCATTTCCATCTAAGGTACTGGGTTCATCTCACTAGGGAGTGCCAGACAATGGGAGCAGGTCAGTGGGTGCACACACCGTGCTCGAGCCGAAGCAGGGCGAGGCATTGCCTCACTTGGGAAGTGCAAGGGGTCAGGGAGTTCCCTTTCCTAGTCAAACAAAGGGGTGACAGACGGCACCTGGAAAATCAGGTCACTCCCACCCTAATACTGCGCTTTTCTGACAGGCTTAAAAAACGGCCCACCAGGAGATTATATCCCACACATGGCTGGGAGGGTCCAATGCCCACGGAGTCTCACTGATTGCTAGCACAGCAGTCTGAGATCAAACTGCAAGGCGGCAGCAAGGCTGGGGGAGGGGCACCCGCAATTGCCCAGGCTTGCTTAGGTAAACAAAGCAGCTGGGAAGCTCCAACTGGGTGGAGCCCACCACAGCTCAAGGAGGCCTGCCTGCCTCTGTAGGCTCCACCTCTGGGGGCAGGGCACAGACAAACAAAAAGACAGCAGTAACCTCTGCAGACTTAAATGTCCCTGTCTGACAGCTTTGAAGAGAGCAGTGGTTCTCCCAGCATGCAGCTGGAGATCTGAGAACAGGTAGACTGCCTTCTCAAGTGGGTCCCTGACCCCTGACCCCTGAGCAGCCTAACTGGGAAACAGCCCCCAGCAGGGGCAGACTGATACCTCACATGGCCAGGCACTCCAACAGACCTGCAGCTGAGGGTCCTGTCTGTTAGAAGGAAAACTAACAGAAAGGAAATCCACACCAAAAACCCATCTGTACATCACCATCATCAAAGACCAAAAGTAGATAAAACCACAAAGATGGGGAAAAAACACAGCAGAAAAACTGGAAACTCTAAAAAGCAGAGCGCCTCTCCTCCTCCAAAGGAACGCAGTTCCTCACCAGCAACGGAACAAAGCTGGATGGAGAATGACTTTGACGAGCTGAGAGAAGAAGGCTTCAGACGATCAAATTACTCCGAGCTACAGGAGGACATTCAAACCAAAGGCAAAGAAGTTAAAAACTTTGAAAAAAATTTAGAAGAATGTATAACTAGAATGACCAATAAAGAGAAGTGCTTAAAGGAGCTGATGGAGCTGAAAACCAAGGCTCGAGAACTACGTGAAGAATGCAGAAGCCTCAGGAGCCGATGAGATCAACTGGAAGAAAGGGTATCAGCGATGGAAGATGAAATGAATGAAATGAAGTGAGAAGGGAAGTTTAGAGAAAAAAGAATAAAAAGAAACGAGCAAAGCCTCCAAGAAATATGGGACTACGTGAAAAGACAAAATCTACGTCTGATTGGTGGACCTGAAAGTGACGGGGAGAATGAAACCAAGTTGGAAAACACTCTGCAGGATATTATCCAGGAGAACTTCCCCAATCTAGCAAGGCAGGCCAACGTTCAGATTCAGGAAATACAGAGAACGCCACAAAGATACTCCTGGAGAAGAGCAACTCCAAGACACATAATTGTCAGGTTCACCAAAGTTGAAATGAAGGAACAAATGTTAAGGGCAGCCAGAGAGAAAGGTCGGGTTACCCTCAAAAGGAAGCCCATCAGACTAACAGCGGATCTCTCGGCAGAAACTCTACAAGCCAGAAGAGAGTGGGGGCCAATATTCAACATTCTTAAAGAAAAGAATTTTCAACCCAGAATTTCATATCCAGCCAAACTAAGCTTCATAAGTGAAGGAGAAATAAAATACTTTACAGACAAGCAAATGCTGAGAGATTTTGTCACCACCAGGTCTGCCCTAAAAGAGCTCCTAAAGGAAGCACTAAACATGGAAAGGAACAACTGGTACCAGCAGCTGCAAAATCATGCCAAAATGTAAAGACCATTGAGACCAGGAAGAAACTGCATCAACTAACGAGCAAAATAACCAGCTAACATCATAATGACAGGATCAAATTCACACATAACAATATTAACTTTAAATGTAAATGGACTAAATGCTCCAATTAAAAGACACAGACTGGCAAATTGGATAAAGAGTCAAGACCCATCAGTGTGCTGTATTCAGGAAACCCATCTCACGTGCAGAGACACACATAGGCTCAAAACAAAAGGATGGAGGAAGATCTACCAAGCAAATGGAAAACAAAAAAAGGCAGGGGTTGCAATCCTAGTCTCTGATAAAACAGACTTTCAACTAACAAAGATCAAAAGAGACAAAGAAGGCCATTACATAATGGTAAAGGGATCAATTCAACAAGAAGATCTAACTATCCTAAATATATATGCACCCAATACAGGAGCACCCAGATTCATAAAGCAAGTCCTGAGTGACCTACAAAGAGACTTAGACTCCCACACAATAATAATGGGAGACTTTAACACCCCACTGTCAACATTAGACAGATCAACGAGACAGAAAGTCAACAAGGATACCAAGGAATTGAACTCAGCTCTGCACCAAGCGGACCTAATAGACATCTACAGAACTCTCCACCCCAAATCAACAGAATATACATTTTTTTCAGCACCACACCACACCTATTCCAAAATTGACCACATACTTGGAAGTAAAGCTCTCCTCAGCAAATGTAAAAGAACAGAAATTATAACAAACTATCTCTCAGACCACAGTGCAATCAAACTAGAACTCAGGATTAAGAATCTCACTCAAAACCACTCAACTACATGGAAACTGAACAACCTGCTCCTGAATGACTACTGGGTACATAACGAAATGAAGGCAGAAATAAAGATGTTCTTTGAAACCAGTGAGAACAAAGACAAAACATACCAGAATCTCTGGGACACATTCAAAGCAGTGTGTAGAGGGAAATTTATAGCACTAAATGCCCACAAGAGAAAGCAGGAAAGATCCAAAATTGACACCCTAACATCACAATTAAAAGAACTAGAAAAGCAAGAGCAAACACATTCAAAAGCTAACAGAAGGCAAGAAATAACTAAAATCAGAGCAGAACTGAAGGAAATAGAGACACAAAAAACCCTTCAAAAAATTAATGAATCCAGGAACTGGTTTTTTGAAAGGATCAACAAAATTGATAGACCACCAGCAAGACTAATAAAGAAAAAAAGAGAGAAGAATCAAATAGACACAATAAAAAATGATAAAGGGGATATCACCACCGATCCCACAGAAATACAAACTAACATCAGAGAATACTCCAAACACCTCTACGCAAATACACTAGAAAATCTAGAAGAAATGGATAAATTCCTCGACACATACATCCTCCCAAGACTAAACCAGGAAGAAGTTGAATCTCTGAATAGACCAATAACAGGATCTGAAATCGGGGCAATAATCAATAGCTTACCAACCAAAAAGAGTCCAGGACCAGATGGATTCACAGCCGAATTCTACCAGAGGTACAAGGAGGAACTGGTACCATTCCTTCTGAAACTATTCCAATCAATAGAAAAAGACGGGATCCTCCCTAACTCATTTTATGAGGCCAGCATCATCCTGATAACAAAGCCGGGCAGAGACACAACCAAAAAAGATAATTTTAGACCAATATCCTTGATGAACATTGATGCAAAAATCCTCAATAAAATACTGGCAAACCAAATCCAGCAGCACATCAAAAAGGTTATCCACCATGATCAAGTGGGCTTCATCCCTGGGATGCAAGGCTGGTTCAATATACGCAAATCAATAAATGTAATCCAGCATATAAACAGAACCAAAGACAAAAACCACATGATTATCTCAATAGATGCAGAAAAGGCCTTTGACAAAATTCAACAACCCTTCATGCTAAAAACTCTCAATAAATTAGGTATTGATGGGACGTATTTCAAAATAATAAGAGCTATCTATGACAAACCCCCAGCCAATATCATACTGAATGGGCAAAAAGTGGAAGCATTCCCTTTGAAAACTGGCACAAGACAGGGATGCCCTCTCTCACCACTCCTATTCAGCATAGTGTTGGAAGTTCTGACCAGGGCAATTAGGCAGGAGAAGGAAATAAAGGGTATTCAATTAGGAAAAGAGGAAGTCAAATTGTCCCTGTTTGCAGACGACATGATTGTATATCTAGAAAACCCCATTGTCTCAGCCCAAAATCTCCTTAAGCTGATAAGCAACTTCAGCAAAGTCTCAGGATACAAAATCAATGTACAAAAATCACAAGCATTCTTATACACCAACAACAGACAAACAGAGAGCCAAATCATGAGTCAATTCCCATTCACAATTGCTTCAAAGAGAATAAAATACCTAGGAATCCAACTTACAAGGGATGTGAAGGACCTCTTCAAGGAGAACTACAAACCACTGCTCAAGGGAATAAAAGAGGATACAAAGAAATGGAAGAACATTCCATGCTCATGGGTAGGAAGAATCAATATTGTGAAAATGGCCATACTGCCCAAGGTAATTTACAGATTCAATGTCATCCCCATCAAGCTACCAATGACATTCTTCACAGAATTGGAAAAAACTACTTTAAAGTTCATATGGAACCAAAAAAGAGCCTGCATTGCCAAGTCAATCCTAAGCCAAAAGAACAAAGCTGGAGGCATCACGCTACCTGACTTCAAACTATACTACAAGGCTACAGTAACCAAAACAGCATGGTACTGGTACCAAAACAGAGATATAGATCAATGGAACAGAACACAGCCCTCAGAAATAAGGCCGCATATCTACAACTATCTGATCTTTGACAAACCTGACAAAAACAAGCAATGGGGAAAGGATTCCCTGTTTAATAAATGGTGCTGGGAAAACTGGCTAGCCATATGTAGAAAGCTGAAACTGGATCCCTTCCTTACACCTTATACAAAAATCAATTCAAGATGGATTAAAGACTTAAACGTTAGACCTGAAACCATAAAAACCCTAGAAGAAAACCTAGGCATTACCATTCAGGACATAGGCATGGGCAAGGACTTCATGTCTAAACACCAAAAGCAATGGCAACAAAAGCCAAAATTGACAAATGGGATCTAATTAAACTAAAGAGCTTCTGCACAGCAAAAGAAAGTACCATCAGAGTGAACAGGCAACCTACAGAATGGGAGAAAATTTTCGCAACCTACTCATCTGACAAAGGGCTAATATCCAGAATCTACAATGAACTCAAACAAATTTACAAGAAAAAAACAAACAACCCATCAAAAAGTGGGCGAAGGACATGAACAGACACTTCTCAAAAGAAGACATTTATGCAGCCAAAAAACACATGAAAAAATGCTCACCATCACTGGCCATCAGAGAAATACAAATCAAAACCACAATGAGATACCATCTCACACCAGTTAGAATGGCGATCACTAAAAAGTCAGGAAACAACAGGTGCTGGATAGGATGCGGAGAAATAGCAACACTTTTACACTGTTGGTGGGACTGTAAACTAGTTTAACCATTGGGGAAGTCAGTGTGGCGATTCCTCAGGGATCTAGAACTAGAAATACCATTTGACCCAGCTATCCCATTATTGGGTATATACCCAAAGGACTATAAATCATGCTGCTATAAAGACACATGCACACGTATGTTTATTGTGGCATTATTCACAATAGCAAAGACTTGGAAACAACCCAAATGTCCAATAATGATAGACTGGATTAAGAAAATCTGGCACATATACACCATGGAATACTATGCAGCCATAAAAAATGATGAGTTCATGTCCTTTGTAGGGACATGGATGAAATTGGAAATCATCATTCTCAGTAAACTATCACAAGAAAAAACAAACAAACACCGCATATTCTCACTCATAGGTGGGAATTGAACAATGAGAACACATGGACACAGGAAGGGGAACATCACACTCTGGGGACTGTTGTGGGGTTGGGGGGGAGGGATGGCATTGGGAGATATACCTAATGCTAGATGATGAGTTAGTGGGTGCAGCGCACCAGCAAGGCACATATATACATGTGTAACTAACCTACACATTGTGCACATGTACCCTAAAACTTAAAGTATAATAATAATAAATAAATAAATAAATAAAAAAGAAAGAAAGATCAAGACATGTGAAGGCTTTGAAAAGAAAGACCCTTTCCATAGTGTGGAAGTGAATGGTTTTAATAATGTTTAGACTTTGTGGTACATGTTTTAGGGGGATGGATTGAAAAGATGAGGCTGTAGAAATAGTCACTGGCAAGTCCTAAAAATATCTAAAAGCAAATAGAGAAACTTGGGTTCCCACTCCAGGGCAGTGAGAAGGTACTGAAAGATTTCAGGATTTCAATGAAGCTAGTTGAGGGGTAGAGGCGGTCAGATTAGCAGTTCAGGGTGTTTATTCTGGCTGTGTTGTAGAGTGCTATTTGGTGTCAACTAGATTACATGGAGGGACATCTGTTCTGAAAGACATTTCAGTAGTGCCAGAAAGAGATGATGATCTCAATTAGTGTAGTAAAAACATAAATGAAGAAAAAAATGAAATAATCTATAGAACTTAGATACAATGATGTGAATAGAAAGATGAGGACCCGATTATGACTGAATTGTCTTCTTGAGACAACTGGGACGAGATGTAAGTGGCAAAAGGTGAAAAAACAAATTTTTTCCTATAAAAATATAAAATTATCACTTAAAAATATCCCATCATGGATGGTAGTGTTCACTTGACAAAATTTATAGAGGCAGCAGCCCTGAAATGCTGTAAAGCAGCGTGTGTGTGTGTGTGTGTGTGTATGTGTGTGTTTGTGTGTATCGGGGGGAGATAAATTTAGAAATTGGAGGGAAAAATAAGAAAGGATGAAGAACTATGGAAAACTTTAGAGAGTTGTAGACAGCACCCCTTTTGTGTATTCTCAGAGAAAATAGTGGGGATGGTACTCAGAGGTCTATGTTCTTGCTTATGCTGGGGAAAACATTGCAGGAGATAAAAATGGAAGTACTTAAAAAATGTAATTGTGGCATAGATGCAATGCACACCTACTTCTAAGTGACATTTGGGTACATCTGTATTTTTCAAGTTTTCTACAATAAGCAGATATCATAAAACCCTTGACATTTACAAGGGATAAATCCCAAGACCTTTGCAAATTTCTAGCTTTGCAAATACAGAAAAGTTTGTATAGTCTCTTGACTTTCTCAAAAATTATATTTCCTTCAAGAAAAATAAATTTCCAGTGCATTTCCAGATCAGCAAGTCTCACTACCTCTAACTACAAAATATATGTGTAATCCATCTGACCTTATCATCTGCACTACTACCACTATAGTCTAAACCAGCGGTTTCCAACCTGTTTGGCACCAGTGACCAGTTTCCTGGTTTCCATGGACATTGAGTGTTGGCAGCCAAGGGGATTATGGTTTTGGGATGAAACCATTCCACCTCAGATCAGGCATAAGTCAGATGCTCAGAAGGTGTACGCAGCATAGATCCCTCGCTTGCACAGTTCACAATAGGGTTCAGCCTCCTATGAGAAGCTAATCCTGCAGCTGATCTGACAGGAGGTGGAGCTCAGGTGGTAATGATTGCTGGTACTGGTCCGTGCTCTGGGGGTTAGGGACCCTGATCTAAGCAACATTATCTTTTCCTTGGAGAACTGCAATAGCTGCAAACATTGTTCTCCCAGTTTCCATTTTGACATGCACATAACCTAGAATATGTATAAAATGTGTATCATATGTCACTCTAGTTATTAATCTTGTTCAATGTCTTTATACCACTTACAGAAAAAGAAATTTACATTCATTGTCATGACTGGGAACACTCTATATTCTAAACTTCTAAATGTAGAACTTCTCCTGAGCTACCCCTTTGCATGTTTAATACATTGAGCCACACTTGCACGTGGGAACACAAATTAACTATCATTAGCACATTACCTCACTGAGAAAAAGACAAAATCATCCTTAAAAATATTTCATTATTATTTTTTATTTTTTAAAATTTTACTTTAAGTTCTGGGATACATGTGCAGAATAGGCAGGTTTGCTATATAGGTATATATGTGCCGTGGTGATTTGCTGCACCTATCAACCCATCATCTAGGTTTTAAGCCCTGCATGCATTAGATATTTGTCCTAATGCTCTCACTTCCCCTTGCCCCCCAGCCCCCAACAGGCCCCGGTGTGTGATGTTCCCCTCCCTGTGTCCATATGCTTTCGTTCAACTCCCACTTATGAGTGAGAACATGAGGTGTTTGGTTATCTGTTCCTGTGTTAGTTTGCTGAGAATATGACTGAGAATATGACTAGAAATACCATTTAATTAATTTTTTTGATTGAGAAGTAAAAATTGTATATATTTATCATGTACAACATAGTATTTTGAAATACGTATACATTGTGGAATGGCTAAATTGAGCTAATTGACATATGTGTTACTTCACATACTTATAGTTTATTTTTGTGATGAGAAAACAGATCTAACAGATCTACTGTCTTAGCTCTTTTCAAGAATGAAATACACTTTTATAAACAGTAGTTACCATGTTGTGCAATACATCTCTGGAACTACACATTCCTCCTACAATTTTTTTTTATCTTTGATGAACATTTCCCTCAACCTCTGTCCTGTGTCACCCTCTGTTAACCACTATTCTACTCGCTGCTTTTATGAATTCCACTTTTTTAAATTCCACACGTGAGATCACGTGATATTTGTCTGAGTCTGACTTATTTTACTTAACATAATATCCTCAAGTCCCTCTGTATTGTCGCAAATGACAGGATTGCCTTCATTTTTGAGGCTGAATAGTATTCCACTATGTATGTATTACTGAATTTTTTTTTTTTTTTTTTTTTTTTGAGACGGAGTCTCACTCTGTCGCCCAGGCTGGAGTGCAGTGGCGCAATCTCAGCTCACTGCAAGCTCTGCCTCCCGGGTTCACGCCATTCTCCTGCCTCAGCCTCCGGAGTAGCTAGGACTACAGGCACCCACCACCATGCCCAGCTAATTTCTTTTTGTGTTTATGGTAGAGACGGGGTTTCACCGTGTTAGCTAGGATGGTCTCGATCTCCCGACTTCGTGATCCGCCCGCCTCAGCCCCCAAAGTGCTGGGATTACAGGCGTGAGCCACTGCGCCCGGCACATTTTCTTTATTCATTCATCCACTGATGGGCACTTAGGTTGATTCCATATTTTGGTTATTGTGAATAATGCTGCAGTGAACATGGGAGTGCAGGTATCTCTTTGACATACTGATTACATTTCCTTTGGATATATACCCAGCAGTGGGATTGCTGGATCATATGGCAGTTATATTTTTAATTTTTTTGAGGAGCCTCCATACTCTTTCTCATGATGGCTGTACTAATTTACATTCCCATCTACAATGGGAATGCAAGGATGCCCTTTTCAACACAGCCTCACCAGTACTTATCTTTTGTCTTTTTAATAGGCCTTCCAACAAGCATGAAGTGGTATCTTGCTGTGTTTTTGATTTGCATTTCTCTGATGACTGGTGATGAATAGTTTTTCATATATCTGTTGGCAATTTGTCTATCTTCTTTCGAAAAGTCTGTTATGGTTCTTTGTCCATTTTGTAATTGAGTTAATTGCTTTCTTACAATTGAGTTGCTTGAGTTCCTTATAGATTTTGGATACTAACTCATCAGCTATATGGTTTGCAATTTTTTTCATGCCATTTATTGTCTCTTTATTCTGTTTATCATTTCTTTTGTTGTTTAGAAACTTTTTAGTTTGACATAATCTCATTTGTCTATTTTTGCTTTTGTTGCCTCTGCTTTTGAGGTGATATCTAAAAAATCATTGCCCAGACCACTGCCATGGATATTTTCTGTTTTCTTCTAGAAGTTGCATAGTTTGAGGTCTTACGTTTAATTCTTTAATCTATTTTCTGTTGATTTCTGCACATGGTGAAGGATAAAGGCCTAATTTTATTTTTCCACAGATGGATAGCTAGTTTTCCCAACACCATTTATTAAAGAGACTGTCCTTTCACCATTGTGTGATCTTGACATTTTTTTAATTAATAGACTATACATTTGTGAATTTATTGCTGGGTTCTCTATTTTGTCCCATTGATCTATGTTTCTGTTTCCATGCCAGTACCATGCTGTTTTGATTACAACAGCTTTGTAATATATTTGGAAGCAGTTGGTGTGATGCTTCCAGCTTTATTCTTTTTGCTCAAGATTTCTTTGAGTGTGTGGGGTCTGTTGTGGTTCCACAGTAGTTTTAAATTTTTTTTTCTATTTCTGTGAAAAATACCATTGGGATTTAAATAGGGCTTGCAATAAGTCTGTCAATGTCTTTGGGTAGTAACGGACATTTTAACAGCATTAGTTATTCCAATTCATGATAATGAGATATTTTCCATTTATTTGTGACTTCTTCAGTTTCTTTCATCGATATCTTATAGTTTTCAATGTGAAGGCCTTTCACTTCTTTGGTTAAATTAATTCCTAAGTACAGTCATCCCTTGGTATACATAGGTGACTGGTTTCCTTAGCTGTAACCCTAACCCTAAACCTAATCTTAACTGAGGCTTCCCATTAATACACAAATCTGTAGATGCTCAAGTCCCTGTGTATTAGTCTGTTCTCAGGCTACTAAAAAACATAGCTGAAAATGGGAAATTTATAAAGCAAAAAAGTTTAATTGACTCACAGTTCCACATGGCTCAGGAAGCCTCACAATCATGGTGGAAGGCAAATGAGACACAAAGTCACATCTTAACATAGCAGCAGGCAAAAGAGCTTGTTTAGGGGCATTTCCCTTCATAAAACTATCAGATCTCATGAGACTTATCCACTACCACAAGAACAGTATGGGGGAAACCACCCCTGCTGATTCCATTATCTCCACCTGGCCCCACCCTTGAACATGGGGATTATTACAATTCAAGGTGAGATTTTCGTGGGAACTCAGCCAAACTATATCACTCTGGTATAAAATTGCCTAGTTGAGAATCCACAGACCTTTTGAAGGAATCGAATTTCTGCTGCAGATTCCATAGGACAGCCAAGAAACTGCGAGTCAGCTTGCTTTCTCACCTGGGAGGCATGTAGCCTGGGGCAAGTTATCACCACTGTTCACTGGCTACCTGGAAATAAACCCGGTGCTGTTAGAGGAGCACAGTGGGAGTTAGACTAGTCTTTTGCACTTTGGGCTCTCTGGGAGCTGGGTGAGGCCTGTGCCTTCCAGCTTCACCCCACTTCCCTGGTGACCTGTGTGATGCAGCAGGGGCAGATATAACCCCCTTAGGAACATGACTCCATTGGCCTGGGAACCACACCTAAGAAATGAAATACGTGGCAATACAATATTCATGCAGGACTTCAATACTCCACTGACAGCACTAGACAAGTCATTAAGCAGAAAGTCAATGAAGAAACAATCGACTTAAACTATGCCCTAGAACAAATGGACTTAATGGATGTTTGTCCAATATCCTTAATGGGGTATTCTACCCAACAACTACAGAATATATATTCTATTCATCAGCACATGGCATATTCTCCAAGATAGACCATACGCTAGATAACAAAACAAGTCTCAATCAAGGCTCAGGCTGGGGTTGTCACTAGCCATGGAGGTCCCCAGTTGGCAAAGTGTCTGAGAAAAATTCTGCATCAAAATCAAGATGGAAATTAAAATCCTGCATCAAAATCAAGATGGAAATTAAAAAATTATTTGAACTGAATGATAATAGTGACACAACCTATCAAAACCTCTGGGATACGGCAAATGCAGTGCTAAAAGGAAAGTTCATAACATTAAATGCCTACATCAAAAGGTCTGAAAGAGCACAAACGGACAATCTAAGGTCACACCTCAAGGAACTAGAGAAACAAGAAGACACCAAACCCACACCAAGCAGAGGGAAATAAATAACCAAATCAGAACAGAACTAAATGAAATGGAAACAAAAATAAATACAAAAGATAAATGAAACAAACAGCTGGTTATTTGAAAAGATAAATAAAATTGATAGACCATTAGTGAGATTAACCAGGAAAAAAAGAGAAAAGATCCAAATGAGCTCAATTCAAAACAAAATGGGAGATATTACAACTGATATAATGGAAATACAAAAGATCATTCAAGGCTACCTTAAACACCTTTCTGCACGTAAACCAGAAAACCTAGACGAAATGGGTAAATTCCTAGAAATATACAACCCTTCTAGATTAAACCAGGAAGAAATAGAAACTCTAAACAAACCAATAACAAGCAGTGAGATTAAAATTGCAATTTTAAGTTACCAACAAAAAAAAGTTCAGGATCAGATGGATTCACCACTGAATTCTATCAAACATTCAAAGAAGAATTGGTACCAATCCTATTGACACTATTGCAAAAGATAGAGAAAGGGAATTCTCCTTAAATCATTCTATGAAGCCAGTGTCACCCTAATACCAAAACCAGGAAAGAACATAACAAAAAAAAAAGAAAACTACAGACCAATATCCCTGATGAACATAGATGCAAAAATCCTCAGCAAAATACTAGCAAACCGAATCTAACAGCATATCAAAAAGATAATCCACCATGATCAAGTGGGTTTCATAGCAGAGATGTAGGGATAGTTTAACAAGTCAATAAATGTGATAGGCCACATAAACAAAAATCACATGATCATCTCAATAGACACAGAAAAAGCATTTGACAAAACCCAGCATCGCTTTATGATTAAAACCCTCTGCAAAACGACATACAAGGGACATACCTTGAGGTAATAAAAGCTATCCATAACAAACCCACAGCCAACACTATACTGAATGGGAAAAGTTAAAGGCTTTCCCCCTGAGAACTGGAACAAGACAAGGATGCCCACTTTCACCAATTCTATTCAACGTACTGGAAGTCCTAGCCACAGCAATCAGATGAGAAAGAAATAATGGGCATCCAGATCAGTAAAGAAGAAGCCCAAACTTTCACTGTTTGCTGATGATATTATCATATACCTAGAAACCCCAAAAGACTCATCCAAAAAGCTCCTAGAACTTGTCAATAAATTCAGCAAAATTTCAGGATACAAAATTAATGTACACAAATCAGCATCTCTACTATATACGAACAGCGACCAAATTGAAAATCAAATCAAGAACTCAACCCCTTTTATCATAGCTGCAAAAAATACAAATAAAAAGATACTTAGGAATATACCTAACCAAGGAGGTGAAAAACTTCTACAAGGAAAACTATAATACAAAATACTGCTGAAAGAAATCATAGACAATGCAAACAAATGGAAACACATCCTGTGCTTATGGATGGGTAGAATCAATATTGTGAAAATGACCATACTGCCAAAAGCAATCTACAAATTCAATGCAATTCCCATCAAAATACCACCATCATTCTTCACCGAACTAGACAAAACAATCCTAAAATTCAGATGGAACAACAACAACAAAAAAAAGCCTTTGTAGCCAAGGCAAGATTAAGCTAAAAGAACAAATCTGGAGGCATCACATTACCTGACTTCAAACTATAAGGCCATAGTCACCTAAACAGCATGGTACCAGTATAAAAATAGGTATATAGACCAATGGGACAGGATAGAGAACCCAGAAATAAAACCAAATACAGCCAACTGATCTTTGACAAAGCAACAAAAACATAAAGTAGGTGTGATGATTAATACGGTGTGCCAACCTGATTGGATTGAAGAATGCAAAGTATTGTTCCTGGATGTGTCTGTGAGGGTGTTGCCAAAGTTTAACATTTGAATCAGTGGACTGGGAGAGGCAGACCACTCTCGATCTGGTTGGGTACCATCTAATCAGCTGCCAGTGTGGCTAGAATAAAGCAGGCAAGGGAAGATGAAAGAGCAGATTTGCTGAGTCTTCCTGCCTTCATCTTTCTCCCGTGTTAGATGCTTCCTGCCCTTGAACATCAGACTCCAAGTTCTTCAGCTTTTACACTCTTTGACTTACAACAGTGGTCTACTAGGGGCTCTTGGGCCTTTGGCCATGCACTGAAGGCTGCACTGTCAGCTTCCCTACTTTTGAGGTTCTGGGACTCAGACTGATCCACCACTGGCTTCCTTGCTCCTCAGCTTGCAGACGGCCTATCGTGGGTCTTTACCTTGTAATCATGTGAGCCAATTCTCCTTAATAAACTCCCTTTCATATATACATATATTCTATTAATTCTGTCCCTCTAGAGAACCCTGCTAATACAGTGGAGAAAAGACATCCTATTCAACAAATGATGCTGGGATAATTGGCAACCCACAGGTAGAAGAATGAAACTGGATCCTTGTCTCTCACATTATACAAAAATCAACTCAAGATGGATGAAGGACTTAAATTTAAAATCTGAAACCATAAAAATTCTATGAGATAACATTGGGAAAACCATTCTAGACATTGGCTTAGGCAAAGACTTCATGACAAAAAACCGAAAAGCAAATGCAACAAAAACAAAGATACATAGATGAGACTTAATTAAACGAAAAACCTTCTTCACAGCAAAAGAAATAATCAGCAAAGCAAAGACACAACCCACAGAGTGGGAGAAAATCCTCCCAATCTATACTTCCAACAAAAGACTAATATTCAGAATCTATAAGGAACTCAAACAAATCAGCAAGAAAAAAACATACAATTCCATCAAAAACTGGGCTAAGCACATGAATAGACAATTCTCAAAAGAAGATACACAAATGGCCAACAAACGTAGGAAAAAATATGCTCAACATCACTAATTATCAGGGAAATGCAAGTCAAAACCAAAATGCAATACCACCTTACTCCTGCAAGAATGGCCAAAACCAAAAATCAAAAAGTGATAGATGTCAACATGTATGTGGTGAAAAGGGAGAACTTTTACACTGTTAGTGGAAATGTAAAGTAGTACAACCACGATGCAAAAGAGTGTAGAGATTCCTTAAAGAACTAAAAATAGATCTATCATTTGATCCAACATTCCTACTCCTGGGTATCCACCCAGAGGAATAGAAGTCATTATATGAAAAAGATACCTGCACATGCATGCTTATAGCTGCACAATTCAGCAATTGCAAAAATATGGAACCAGCCCAAATGCCCATCAGTGAGTGGAAAAAGAATATATGGTACATACATATACCATGGAATACTACTCAGCCATAAAAAGAAACAAAATAATGGCAGCAACCTGGATGGAATTGGAGACAATTATCCTAAGTGAAGCAACTAAGGAGTGGAAAGCCAAACATCAACATTCTCACTCATAAATGGGAGCTAAGTTATGAGGACGCAAAGGCATAAGAATGATTCAATGGACGTTGGAGAATCAGGGAAAAGGATGGGAGGGGGTTGAGGGATAAAAGACTACCTACTGGGTACAGTGTGCACTGCTCAGGTGATGGATGCACCAAAATCTTAGAAATCATCATTAAATAACTTATTCATGTACAAAAATAAATAAGAAAAATATTGCACATTGTTTGCATATTACCTATACACATTCTCCCACATATTTTAAATCATCTCTAGATTACTTGTAAAACATAATATAATATAAATGGTATATCAGTAGTTACTATTATGTATTGCCTATGAAATCATGACCAAAAGAATTCTGTTTGGTTGGGCGTGGTGGCTCACACTTGTAATCCTGGCACTTTGGGAGGCCGAGGCAGGCAGATCATGAGGTCAGGAGATTGAGAACATCCTGGCTAACACAGTGAAACCCCATCTATTTAACACAGTGTAAAAATACAAAAAATTAACCAGGTGTGGTGGCAGGTGCCTGTAGTCCCAGCTACTCGGGAGGCTGAGGTAGGAGAATGGCATGAACCTGGGAGGCAGAGCTTGCAGTGAGCCGAGATCATGCCACTGCACTCCAGCCTGGGCAACAGAGTGAGACTCCATCTCAAAAAAAAGAAAAAAAATTTGTTTGTACATTTTCAGAACAGAAATTTTTTTTCTAAGTATTTTCAATTCAGGTTTGTTTGAATCTGTGCACATGGAACCCACAGATACAGAGGGCCAATGGTATTTTATTTTATTTTTTATAGCTATCCAAAATGAAATTGTTTTCTTGATTTTTTTTTGGGGGGGGTAGTTTCTTGTTAATGCATAGAAACCCAACTGATTTTTGTATGTTGATTTTTTATCCTGCAACTTTACTGAATTTATTTATTAGTTCAAAAGTTTTTTTGAAGAGACATTAAGATTTAAGATTTGAATGCCTTTTATTTCCTTCTCTTGCCAAATCGCCCTGGCTAGAAATTCCAGTATTATGCTGAATAGAAGTGGTAAGAATTGACATCCTTGTCTTATTTCTGATCTCAGAGGAAGAGCTTTTGACTTGTCACTATTGAGTATGATGTTAGCTGTGGACTTGCTGTATACAGCCTTTATCATGTTGAGGTACATTCTTTCCATATCCAGTTTGTTCAATTTTTATTGTGGAAGGATGTTGAATTTTGTCAAATTATTTTTCTGCATCTATTGAGATGACCATATGGTTTTTGTACTTCAGCCTGTTAATGTGGTGTATCACATTTATGGATTTGCATACGTTGAACCATCTTTGCATTCATGATATAAATCCCACCTGATTATGGTGTGTGATCCTTTTCATGTGCTGTTTAATTTGGCTTGCTAGTAATTTGTGGAAAACTTTTTTTTCTATGTTCATCAGGTATATTGGCCGGTAATTTTCTTTTCTGGTAGGGTCATTGTCTGGTTTTTCTGTCCGTGTAATGCTGGTCTGGTAAAATTAGACTCTGGGTCTAGAAAAGTCTCATTGGCATCTCTCCTCTATCCAGCCTGTAGCACTTGAGACTTGGTCATCTCAACAGGAGGACTCCTTCATAATAATTGCAGAAGTGAGATCATGAGATAAAAAATTTTCTGGGTCTTTTCACTGCCTCCACTTGAAATGATGCATTTCATTAGCCAGAACTAGCCACATGGTCTTTTATCTAGTTTAAGAATGTTGGGAAGTACAGTTTCTTTTTTTCTTTTTTTTTTTCTTTTTTTTTTTTTTTGAGATGGATTCACACTCTCACCCAGGCTGGAGTGCAGTGGCACCATCTCAGCTCACTGCAACCTCTGCTTCCCAGGTTCAAGCAATTCTCCTCCCTCGGCCTCCTGAGTAGCTGAGATCACAGGCACGCACCACCACGCCTACCTAATTTTTTTTGTAGAGCTCTGGGTTTCATCATGTTGACCAGGCTGTTCTTGAACTCCTGGCCTCATGAGCTCCGTCCGCCTTGGCCTCCCAAAGTGCTGGGATTGCAGGCATTAGCCGCCACACCCGGCCAGGAAGTACAGCTTCTATAAGCCAAGGAATGAGAGGAGAATTGGATACTATGAGCACTGGTAAAGTTTGTCAATTTATTCTTCCAGTTCTAATATGTTAAGTTTAATTTTTTTTGCAAAGCACACATCCCCTTGCCAAGGAAGACCACCCAAATCTTATCCTATAACAGCCTGAAAGTTTAGATGTTGTGCGATAGTCTATCAGGTCTGGATGTGGCTCCTCTTAAACTGGAACCTATGAACTCTAAAGACAACCATTTGCCCCCACTCACATATGTAGGGTATAATAGTAAAATAAAGGTAGGATAATTACAATAAACATGCTGACTCTGAACAGAGAAGAATAAGGAATAGCAAGAGGTCACTGGTCTTTAGAAATTTTTAAATCCCACCGGGCAGACGTTATGTGAGCAGCCTCACCTGAGGGTAGAGAATATTCTTTAATGGGGCCCTTATTCTGCTCTCTGGGAGGAAGTTCCCTTTTGCATTGTCCTCAGAAACCTCCTTATTCCATCTTCAGAAAGTTGTTTCTTTTTTTCCCTCTTACATTATTCTCCGTGCTCATATTTGAAGTGTTTGGGGAATATGTCCTTCTTGGGGCTATAACAGATTATCAACCCACTACCTGCCCGTAGAAGCATGGAAGCCCAAAAATAATTTTGATAGTAAATGTTAACATTTATTGGATGCTTTCCATGTGGCAGAAATTATACTAAGCAATTACACGCATTTAATCTTCACAATGGCCTTCTGAAATGGCATTATAATTATTCCCATTTAAATTGCCCAATGTTCCATAGCTAGTCCATAATGGAACTTGGATCCAAATTCTGCTCTGTCTGATACCAATCTGCAAAGTTTCCTGCATAGTCCTTTATAGTCCTCAGTTAAAGGAATTGTTTCAGGAATTGTTGGAAGTGATTCCTGGAGCGAGTGAACATAATCAATATTTTCGACAAATGCAAAGATCATTTGTTAGTCTCAAAGAATCACGGGTTTTTTCAGTGTGTTCTCCAAGTTTCTGTAGCAATACAGTACTATTTAAAAACAACAACAACAAAAAACACCGTAGGACTTTTATATGCTTGAATCAATTCAGATCCATGTACTAGGAACCATACCTGCAGTTGCTTCAAAGACATTTTTTACATGTTCTCAGGTCCAGCATGTTTCTTTGATTTTATTTATTTTTTATTCACTTACATTTATTTATTGACTTACTGAGTCTATTTTGAATTGTAGATGAAACATACTCTAAATCTTATATTTACCTCAAGATATTTTAAGAGTTAATATTAATTTATTGGGCACTGATACTTAATCTGATTTTTTGTTTTAAGATACTTATGTCTTTTGAGAAGTTTTAACAAAAGGTGAAATGTCCCTTAATTTAATCATTGTTTCATGGCTGAGTTTTTACAGGCTTTTTGACTTTCAAAGTCCTTAATTTATTATCACTTATATTTTGGAATTCAAAAGCAGTTACATTCTCTATTGTTGCAAGACCTGGAATGCTTAAATTGTGTTCCACGGCCAATTCTTTGCTGAGCTCATCACTTTCTCAAAATGCCCTATAAAATGTGGTCAATTCCATTCAAAATACAACCCTAAAATTTGTTTTCCAAACTTTTTCTCTAGACTCCCAGATCTGGAGGACAAGTTCATTATCTATATGATCTAATTATCAAATTAGCCTAAACAAGCGTTTTGCCATTCTATCACATATGACAAAACTTCTGCAAATCACCGTACTTTAGACCTCCAAAACAGCAATGACAAATATTTCAGGTTTTTATTGTGATAGGTCCTACTTCCAATATCAATTTTCTGTACAGGTTAGGGAAGTGTCTCAATAGTCCCAAAGATCACCCTCTGTTTGTTGATTCACTAAAAGGACTCAAAGAACTTGGGATTCACATATGGTTAGAGTTTATTGTAGTCAAAATTTACAAAGTAAAATCAGCAAATGAAGCATCAGGCAAAGCCTGGAGAAAACCAGAAGTAAGTTTTAAGTGATTTCTCCCAGAACAGTCACTCAAAGTACACTTACTTCTTTCTGCTATAAACTATAGCAACATAAATACAGTGTGAAGCTTGCTTGAGCCTAAGTCTGGGGTTTTTATGAGAGGCTGATCACATAAGCACTAGATGTCTTCTCGACTGACTGCAGTTACTCCAATTGCAGACCTCACCACATCTCCTTTTCTTTTGGAGGTCTGCAGTTGGCGTAACTGCAATCACATCATTTATACAAACTCTCTAGACAAACTGATATAGCTTCCTTCAAGGCTCCAGGCACGCAAAACAGTCTTATCAGTTTGAACATTCCAAGCACTCAGTTCTCAGCAGCCCACCAAGGGCCAGTCAAAAAAACTAGGCCCTTCTGGGAATGTGCAAGTTTTATGCAACTCATATCCAATCAGTTAACTCTTTCCTGCACATGCCTGCTACACTATAACAAACTTCATGGTAATATTGACTTATTACAACAAAATCTCCCTCCTCATTTATGTAAAGTTTACTGCAAATCTGGGACACTCTCCAGGGCACTTGATCTCTACTGAATAACTCAATGCCACTTTGATCCTTTGGTTCTGCCTTATTGGCACACTCCTTGTTGGTCATAGTTGTTGCAGAGGAAGAACAAACTGTCCAATCCTGCAGGGCTCGATTGTGTTAGCCAAAAACACATATTATTTTTATTTACATTTCATTGGTTATCACATGGCCCCGCTTAATTATTAAGGGGTGAGAATTTTAGACTCATGTATGTGCAAGAAGGAACAAAGATCTAGCTATTAGTGAGTATTACTGGCGTTTTATCATATTCATAAATTATCTACATTGTGATTGTTACTCTTTGAATGGCATAGAATACAATAGTTTATAATTAGCAAAATGTAACTTAAAAGATATTTAGAAGTATAAGTGGCAAACCAAGAGAGCAAATGATAACAAAGGGAATCTCTTGAAATAGAAAAGATTTGTTATTATTTTTACTAATTTCAGCATCAAATCTTTTGAAAAGGAATAGCGTACTTTCCCCTAAGTAGAGATGTATCACATAGGAATAAAAACACCAAACATTTCAATGTCCCTGGGAGCCTTTGGTTAAATTCCATACACTCTTCTAAGGGAAAAGAGAATTTTTCCACAGTCTGCTGGTGTAAACCCACCAATAGGCTGGGGTGATACTTCTACCAGTTGTGAACAGTATAGATAGTTATTCAATGCTTTCCATGATCCTAACAGTTTGGTAAGAAATGTACATATGTTAGTTTTTTTTTATTCCTTATAAGAATCTTTTGAAATATTCTATCACCCCATTTTAGAGATACGGACTAGGTAAATTAACTAGGTCACCAGCTAGGAAGAGTCACAGTAAGAATGTGAATCCAGGTTTATCTTGCTCCGAAATACATGCTCGTAAGTACTAGACCAATCATTTCTCAAAGGAAAATGACCACAGATACTTGAATGAGGCTGTGTTCACTAAGCATGGACAAAACAAAGCAATCGAGATGATCATTCACTCTATTTTTTCTGTGTTATTCATTTTTCCAGCCATTGTCATAAAAGTGATGAAGATGTATCTGGATATAAGAAAAGCCTATTTATAATACTATAATTTCTTCTATTTTTATGCTAAGCTATTATCAAGCTTATCTCTATCTGTAGAGAACTGTGGTCCAAGTTAGGGCAGGGGACAGAAGGATGTAGGAGGCATAGGCAGGCAGGGGTGTTGAAGGGCAGTAGGCACAGTAGGGCAGGGGACAGAGAAGGGCAGGTGGAATGAGGGTTAGGAGCATGGGAAGGGAGGGCACACATGAGGGTAGGGGACATGGCAGGATGGGTGTATTAGTCTGTTCTCACAGTGTTATAAAGACATACTTAGCTGGGCGTGGTGGCTCACATCTGTAATTCCAGCACTTTGGGAGGCTGAGGCGGGCAGATTACTTGATGTCAGGAGTTTGAGACCAGCCTGGCCAACATGGTAAAACCCCGTCTCTACTAAAAATACAAAAAATAGCCAGGCATGGTGGCACACTCCTGTAATCACACCTACTTGGAAGGCTGAGGCATGAGCATCCCTTAAACCCGGGAGGCGGAGGTTGCAGTGATCTGAGGTTGCAACACTGCACTCCAGCCTGGGGAATAGAGTGAGATTCTGTCTCAAAAAGAAAAAAAAAACAAAAACAAAAACAAAAAAACCCTCAAGACTGGGTAATTTATAAAGGAAAGAGTTTTAGTTGATTCACAGTTCTGTAGGGCTAAGGAGACCCCAGGAAACTTACAATCATGGCACAAGGGGAGGCAAACAGGTCCTTCTTCACATGGCAGCAGCAGCAAGAAGTGCTCAGCAAAAGGGGGAAAAGCCCTTTATAAAACCATCAGCTCTCATGAGAACTCACTATCATGAGAACAGCAGCATGGGGGCAACCACCCCCATGATTCAATTACCACCCAACTGTCCCTCCCATGACACGTGGGTATTATGGGAATTATAATTCAAGATGAGATTTGGGTGGGGACACAGCCAAACCCTATCAATGGAGGAGAGAGGTAATCAGGACAGGCAAAGAAGAAACAGACAAGGTTAGTGTCCTAAAAGGTCTTATTATTTAAAGAAATAAAATAGATACATAAAACTAATAGCCAGTATCTCAAGCCTATATATTTTCTCGTAAAAGTCCAATTGATGATCAGAATAGGATGCCACTCAAAGAAGAAGGCCACTGTAGTCTGCTTCACAGAACATGTTGGAAAATGAGCCAATTAGGAAAGAAAATAAACAGGACAAAGAAGGGTCAGTATGGTAAAGTAGGTAGAACATGGAGTTCCAAATCAGATTTGAAGCCAAGTTCTTCTCAGTAGTTGTGTGACTGTGTGACTTTGGTTAAGTTGTTCCATTGTTTTTAGCCACAATAGATTCCTGTAAAGTCAGGATGATAACTATCCCTTTGGTTTGGTATGAGGATTTAATGAAAAATAATGCATGTAAAATACTTAGCATCTGTCTTGGCATAATGTAGGCTTCCATGTCTATTTGTTCTTCCTCATCCTTTCTTCAAGACAGGAATTATCATTGTTCTTCTGCCAATCAATTTTTAATTAAAACATATTTACTGATTCTTACTCTTTCAGTTGCTTGGGATTGAGTAATGAACAAACCATATTTCAGGAGTTCATATTCTAATATGAGTAATTATATATGATTTCAGATGTAGGTAAGATTTATGAGATTGTTTAAAGTACGATAAAAAAGTGGTAGGAGAGTATAGCCAGGGAAATTTCACAGATAAGGTGACATATGAGTGAAGGGAACTGGAGAAAAAAACTTCCAGCAACAGTAACATGTAAAAACACATTGATTAGATGGATGAGCTTCAAGTTTTGGTGGGATGAACCAGTGGCCAGAGCTATGCAAACAACAGGGAAATATAGGATAAAGGCTGGTAAGAACATGATGACGCAGCTTATAAAGGTCCTTTTAAACCTCAGTGAAGGGTCTGGGTTAGTCTCAAAGCTCCTCCTCCATGCCAAAGAGCCAAGGAGAAGATGGTGAGGGAGGAAGCCGGTGGGTAGATAGATGGTGAGGACTCCGAGGGCCCTTCTTATGAATTTAAACAGTCTCATATCACTTCAAAAACCAGACACACTCTTCCCAAGCATCTCAGTACCCTTTTTCTTGCCTGACCAAATGTGATCATTAGCAGATTCACATTTTTTTTCAACCAATTTCTTCCAGGCCATTGATCCATGTAGTCTGGTCCAGCCATGCTGAATTGTCATTCCAATGAATAAACTCCCTTTCATTGCCTTTCTGACTGTCCCTTGTGCAGTTTCCCTGGATGTTTCTTCCATTGGTTCCTAGTCATGCCTCTGTTACTGTTTTCATTATTTTAAAAATGGAGAGGATGTGTTTCTGCTGAAGTTGCCCAATCTAGTTTTCACTCTATTGGACTCTAAAGTGTGCTGTCTGGATTCAGGCAGATGGATGAGGCAGAAAAGCCACTGATTTGATTTTCTCTTTCAATTTTCAGATCTTTTACTGCTTGCCTGGCTTTGTTTTCTATTCTACAGAGCATCTAAATATGTGTTCTTGTTTTCTCTCCCTAGAGGTAATCCTTTTTATTGCTTTTACCTGTAACATTTGTCTTTAACGGCTTCTGCATATGTGTAGAGGATCAAAGATGTTCTGTTGCATGCTTAGTTATCATGTCTGGGCATTAACTTAGTTATTTTCCTTTTGTACTGTGATTTTTTGGCTTATTTTTTTCAGTTCTTTCTTAGAAATTTCTTTAGAGTGTCACAGTATTTTTTTTTTAATAAACTTATTGGCCGCCAGAACTTTTAATGTATCAGATGGTATCCTATGGTTGGTATTTGGAAAGAGAAACACAACCTCAGAGAAGCTCAACATTCCTGCATGGGTTCTGTGCTTTACTGTTTTCAAATACCTAACAATCAATTAGCTGGTAAACACTCCCTAAAGCAAGTCTCCACCCAAGCCAAAAGAGAGCTAATCATCTCTCAGTGTGCACTAAATCTAAGATGCTTACTCAAATAAGTGTCTTCAGTAAATTTAACATTGTTTCTTAACTGTGGTTTCTCCCTTACTTCCCAGAAATCACAACAACCACAGTGATTTGAAATTATGTTGTATGTCTATGGTAGGGTCAGGATGCACACAAACTGTGTGATTATGAAAGGACATCTTCCTGGCTAGATATCTGAAATATCTATATTAGTTTAATGTCATCCTTTATAATTTACTTCGTGTTTTTTTTTTTTTAGAACAGTTAGCTTCTGTTATTAGAGGAGTGAATTGAACCTCAGTTATACACACTTTTTTGAAACAATATGTGGAGTATTGATTTGGCTATTTGAAATTTTCATGCTTTAATATACTCTACAATGACATTAAAGTTGGCATCTATAGACAAGCACCATTTCTTTTTTATGTGTTTCCTTCCATTTTGACCCCAGATTTCAAATAAATATTTAAACATTTTAATAAAATACGTCATTATTCTGTAAGTAGTTCTAAAATTTGCTGGTTGAAGAGTAATACTGACACAATTATAGACATTATATATTGGCTTCATATTTCATTTTGTTTAAATGCATATATTTTGATCAGTATACAAACGGTACAACCACAGTATAAAATTATGAGAAAGTGAGAAAAATGGAAACATGGTATCTTAATCATAATATCTTAATAGAAACAGTGGCTGCACTTCAGAACATACAGGTTTAGTTCCTAGAAACTTAGATACTTCCTACATGGCCAGCACTTGCTAGTTTGCTAGGTCCTGAGAATATTTAGAAGAAATAGAACAACAGCCTCTGAGTGCACAACGAGCCCCAGAGTAGGCAGCAACCTAAGAAAAGACCATTTTTAAAATAACTTGTCACACTTCAGTATTGCAAGATATCTAGGGGGACCCATACATGTACATGGAAAAGGGGCAGAAAAAAATTCTCAGGAAAGGTAAATCCTGTACTTTATCTTAAAGGATAAGATAGGTTGGGCCAGGTGTGGTGGCTTAGGCCTGTAATCCCAGCACTTTGGGAGGCGGAGGCGGGTGGATCACGAGGTCAGGAAATCGAGACCATCGTAGCTGACACGGTGAAACCCCGTCTCTACTAAAAATACAACAAATTAGCCGGGCTTGGTGGCGGGCGCCTGTGGTCCCAGCTACTCGGGAGGCTTAGGCAGGAGAATGGCGTGAACCTGGGAGGCAGAGCTTGAAGTGAGCCGAGATCGCGCCACTGCACTCCAGCCTGGGAGACGAGCGAGACTCCGTACCCGCCCCCACAAAAAAAAAAAAAAAAAAAGATAAGTGGGTTGAACAAAGAAGGAAGTCATTCCAGGGAAAAACGTAGCATAGATGAAGGTATATGCCAGAGCTTCATTTGAGGCACTATTTGTAATTCACTGTTGCAAGAATATAACTAAAGTGGTGAGATATGTAAGAAATTAAATTTTTGGTTAATTGTATTCTAGTATGTGCATCATTATTTGATCAGTTTTAATCAAGGGATATCTATAGAAATTTATTCATTTTTATAAACATATATATGCACACATTTCTATATTAAATTTAATATTACATCATATGGTTACATTTTATTTAACAATTCTAAATTATTCTTATGGCTACTTCTTAAATTAATATCATTAATCACACATTTTTGTTTTTTTTTTTTTTGTAGCTTTGTCTTAGTCTCTTTTCTGTTGTTTATGATAGAATACCTGAAACTGGGTAATTTACAAAGAAAATGAATGCATTTTTTACAATTACAGAGGCCGAGTAGTCCAACATGAAGGGGATGCCTCTAGTAAAAGCCTTCTTGCCAGTGGGGACTCCTCAGAGTCTTGAGGTGGGCCAGCAATTCCCCTCCTATGATAACCCATTGATTAGCCCATTAATTTCTTTAACCATGTATGGATCAATTTATTTATTCATGAATGGATTAATTCATTCATAAGGTCACAGCCCTTGTGATCTAATTACCTCCTAAAAGCCCCATTTCTCAACACTGCCCCACTGGGGACCAGGTTACAAGATGAGTTTTAGAGGGGATACTCAGGCCATAGCAAGCTTAGATGCTTAGATTATTCCTTTAGAGTGTGTTCCTAGACTTGCATATAGTCTATCAAAATATAAAGCAGCTTTATGACTCTTGATATATAGTAGAAATTACTTAATAAAATTGTTTTTTATTAATTTAACCCCCTACCTACAATGAAAGTTTGAATGCATATAGTTTCCAACACTCACTGCCAACACTGGGTGACTTTTTTCTCCCTTAAGTTTTGCTAATTTATTCAGCAGAATATTTCTTAGTCTTTAGTATCATATCCTGTGGTACATTGAGAATTATACTTATGTCTTAATGATGTTATGAGAATTTAAGTAATGAATGAAAATTGCTTAGCACACTGGCACGTATAAGCGTTCAATAAATTATAGCTATCATGTTATTATCTCTCCTACTAATAAAGACTATCATGATCTATTTTTTTCTATCTTCCTGGATCTATTAATCACTTAATGAATACTTAATGCTCATGTTACAAAGCATTTTTATTTTATACTAGTGATTGACCACCAGCACACAAAGCCTACAGCTATTACAGGGCAAAAAGTAATGTGATAATTCTACCTGTCTCAAAAAAATCAGTCCATGCAGACAATATAGTTTTTAATACACTTAGTCAAATTCTTATGGTTCAAATTAAGAAAAAAAATAAATAAGGTAACCCAATGGACTCATTCAGTCCCAGGCAGGGAAAATGAGTCTTAGCTCTACTTCTTGTACCCAAAAGCTTCTCTTGAATGTAGTAGAACCCATCCAAAAGTGAAAGTGTATTAGTATCTTAACTACAAGATGTGTTAAAGCAGAATAATGGAGAAAAAAGTGAGAATGAATGTGTACTTTCCAAATACAGAGGAACTGAACTCTAAGCAGTATTGTATAATCTGAATGTTGTACAAAACTGTGGAACTGCAATATAAAAACAAAATAAAAACAGCACACACACAAAAATACACTACGGTGTTCATTACACTCAGGCTGAATTTTGTTTACTTTTCCGAGTAGACGAATGTCTTTTTATAAAGTCAGGTTTATTCAAACATAGTTTATTATATATAGTAAAATTTACCTTTTTTAGCTGTAACTGTTAAAGTATTTGTCCATTTTACCTACATTATCAAATTTATAGAATATTGCTCATAATGTCCCTTTATAATTTTAATGTCAGTAAGAGCTAAAGTTATAGTCTTTTATTCTTAATATTGACAATTTGTGTCTTATCTTTTTCTGTGTTAATCAATCAGTCCAGAAATTTGTCCATTTTTCATTGATCTTTTTAGAGGACCAGTTTTGGTGTTAATGATTTTCTTGATTTAATATTTTTAATTTCCCTGATTTCTGTTCTTATCTTTATTATATCCTCACTTCTTATGGGCTTTGAGTTTCATTTGCTCTTCTTTTTCTAGTTTCTTAGGCTGACCCTCCAAAGATTCATCTGAAACACTTTTTTTTCAAATGCTATGTATTTTTTCTAACCATGACATTATCTCTATCACATAAATATTTATATGTTGTGTTTTCACTTTAATTCAAAATGTTTCCTGATTTCCTTTTTTCTTCATTGACATAGAATTTATTCAGAAGTATGTTTTGAAATTTCTAAATATTCGAGGATCCTTTAAAACTATTTTCTGTTAATTTCTATTTTCATTCCATTGTGATCTGAATCCATATATTATGCAATTTCATTCTTATAATTTTTTTGATAATTTTTGTGTCATATAATATCATCTATCTTGGTGAATAGTATATGGGCACTAGAAAATGTGTATTTTTCTGTCGTTGGGTTTTTGCTCTCTGACCTATAAATGCCAATTAGGTCAAATTAGTTGGTACTGTTGTTCAGGCCTTCTACTATCTAATTTTCACTGTACTCGTTCTATCAATTACTGAGACATCTCTGACTACAGTTGAGGATTTTAAACTAGTCGTTTTGAAAATACCATGTGTTATGGCACAGATACTTAATGTCTAATAAATTAGAATTTTTTTAATTAGTTTGAAGCTAGATAATTAACCAAAATGTGTCTGCTGAGGCTTAAATGTAATTTTGGCTGTAGTCAAAATAAAACATATCAGAGAGTTGTCATTGAGCAGTGCATAACAGCAACTCTGTACATGTCCATGCATGATGTAATCGAATATATATTTTGATATTTGGGGAGCTATCACTATTTAAGATGCTTTCTAAATATCACTAACCAAAAGGCAAGAAACTAGAATTATTTTGGCGTTAAGAATCCAGGTAATGATTTTTAGAAAATTCCCATTTTAAGGCTCAATTGCATTGGCTATAAAAGGGGAAATGTTAGCCTAAATCAGATTTAAGAATCCTTCTGTGACCTCATTCTCATTATCATTTTGGGGCAAAATCAGCATGCTTATTTTATTCACAATTTGTTTAATATGTTTTTTAGAGGTACTGCTCCTACTTTTTCCCTATGGGTAAGCTGATAAATTCAGCCTCACTTTGTCATATGTAAGATGGTACAGTAACCATAGCCCTACCTATATACTAGGTAATTGTAATAAATGGGAAAATGAATAGAAAATGTATTTGATGATAATAAAGAATTGTACACAACCAAGTTGATATTGTTATGATTATCAAATTAAAACACTGACAAGCAACTGAAAGTTGCTCTTTCCTCTGAACTACAAAAAGCACATCTGCACCAGAAACTTATCATACTTGTGCTATCACATTGTATAAGCCTTTGAATAACCTTTATTGTTTCTAACTCAACATTTCATGATCTTTCCTTCCCCAGGCAGCTAATTAAATCAGTGACTGAACTCTTCAATTCACAATAAGGCAATCAAGAATTTCTATTTCTTCTCAACTAGTTCCTGCACATAATTGCATATTTCCTTTTTTTCCCCTAGAATCTGAAAGAAACAAGATCTAAAGGACTTAAATGGGTTGCTCTCAGAGCCATAAGACAAGCTTTTTTAAGATGTAGGCCAACAGGTATCAAAAATGACCTGGTCAATATAACAGTGTGGCTTTTGATTAACCTACACCAATGATTCTAAATTTGTGCCGTCTACTTTAAAAAGAAACTTAACTTGTGAAGCATGATTTCTTATTTTTTTATCCAGAGAGAACTGGTGGAGAGAAAATTAAGTTTGCTCATCTAAGTAAGTACCTCAGGGAACTATTCACCTATTAATGTATGGGAGAGTTTCAGCTTGTAACTTACCCAATTTCATTAGCATTAATGGGAATTCTGTGTGAAATCCCGTGTGAATCATTGGTTTAGGAGATGTGTAAGTTTGTTGATTACTTTTATTTTGTAATGGCTCTATTCTCCAGCTCAAACTTTTAACACTTTAGGCTTGTAATAGAAGCTAAATGTTGGAAGGAGTCAAATTTGGACTTTTTTACAAATTATTAAAGTTCTGGGGTACATGTGCAGAACGTGCAGGTTTGTTACATAGGTATACACGTGCCACGGTGGTTTGCTGCACCCATCAACTCATGATCTGCATTAGGTATTTATCCTAATGCTATCCCTCTCCTAGCCCCCCAACCCCTGACATGCCCCGGTGTGTGATATTCCCCTCCCTGTGTCCATGTGTTCTCATTGTTCAACTCCCACTTATGAGTGAGAACATGTGGTTTTGGTTTTCTGTTTTTGTGTTAGTTCGCTGAGAATTATAGTTTCCAGCTTCATCCATGTCCCTGCAAAGGACATGAACTCATCATTTTTTATGGCTGCATTCCATGGTGTATATGTGCCACATTTTCTTTATCCAGTCTATCACTGATGGGCATTTGGGTTGGTTCCAAGTGTTTGCTATTGTGAACAGTGCCGCAATAAACATACATGTGCATTTGTCTTTATAGAATGATTTATCAAATTTGGACTTTTGAAGGCAATTAAATCAGAACAGCATTGAAAGGTGACAGCGTGCCGGCAGTCCTCACAGCCCTCGCTCGCTCTCAGCACCTCCTCTGCCTGGGCTCCCACTTTGGCGGCACTTGAGGAGCCCTTCAGCCCGCCGCTGCACTGTGGGAGCCCCTTTCTGGGCTGGCCAAGGCCGGAGCCGGCCCCCTCAGCTTGTGGGGAGGTGTGGAGTGAGAGGTGGTGGCGGGAACTGACGCTGTGCGCGGTGCTTGCGGGCCAGCGCGAGTTCCGGGTGAGCGTGGGCTGGGCAGGCCCCGCACAGGGAGCGCCCGCGGGCCCCGCCGGCCCCGGGCAGTGAGGGGCTTAGCACCTGGGCCAGCAGCTGCTGTGCTCAATTTCTCGCCGGGGCCTTAGCTGCCTTCCTGCGGGGCAGGGCTCCGGACCTGCAGCCTGCCATGCCTGAGCCTCACCCTCTCTGTGGGCTCCTGTGCGGCCGGAACCTCCCCTACGAGCGCCGCCCCCTCTTCCACGGCGCCCATTCCCATAGACCACCCAAGGGCTGAGGAGTGGGGGCCCACCGCGCGGGACTGGCAGGCAGCTCCACCTGCGGCCCCAGTGCGGGATCCACTGGGTGAAGCCAGCTAGGCTCCTGAGTCTGGTGGGGGCGTGGAGAACCTTTATGTCTAGCTAAGGGATTGTAAATACACCCATCGGCACTCTGTATCTAGCTCAAGGTTTGTAAACACACCAATCAGCACCCTGTGTCTAGCTCAGGGTTTGTGAATGCACCAATCCACACTCTGTATCTAGCTACTCTGGTGGGGACTTGGAGAACCTGTGTGTCCACACTCTGTATCTAGCTAATCTGGTGGGGACGTGGAGAACCTTTGAGTCTAGCTCAGGGATTGTAAATGCACCAATCAGCACCCTGTCAAAACAGACCACTAGACTCTACCAATCAGCAGGATGTGGGTGGGGTCAGATAAGAGAATAAAAGCAGGCTGCCCGAGCCAGCAGTGGCAACCCGCTGGGGTCCCCTTCCACACTGTGGAAGCTTTGTTCTTTAGCTCTTTGCAATGAATCTTGCTGCTGCTCACTTTTTGGGTCCACACTGCCTTTATGAGCTGTAACACTCACCGCTAAGGTCTGCAGCTTCACTCCTGAAGCCAGCCAGACCACGAACCCACGGGGAGGAAGGAACAACTCCAGATGCGCCCTCTTAAGAGATGCGCTGCCTTAAGAGCTGTAACACTCACAGCGAAGATCCGCAGCTTCACTCCTGAGCCAACGAACACACCAGAAGGAAGAAACTCTGAACACATCCGAACATCAGAAGGAACAAACTCCAGACGCACCACCTTAAGAGCTGTAACACTCACCGTGAGGGTCCACGGCTTCATTCCTGAAGTCAGTGAGACCAAGAACCCACCAATTCCGGACACAGCATCACATATAATCATTCACCATTGTGAATTTTGACACGTTACAGGTTCCCTACCTGGATGTTCTACTGGCTTGCTGCCTTTTGTGCATGAAGACTCAAGTTTGAATTTTAAGCTTTCAACAATTATGTTATGTTCTACTAGTGTGTACTATGTTCTTATTTGATCCGCCCCCGCAGCTTTCTTAACACCTCTTATGACTGGGCTATGAATTTTGTACCCACTTAGATGTCCAGTCCTGGGAAATTTTGCAAATGGAAGGCAGAATTAGCGGGAGGTAGGGGGTGGGGGGTAGGCCATGGATGCGCATGCGCAGGTGTAAGTGCTAGCCCCTGCTAGGCCTTACCTTCCATCTCTCTCCTGTCAGGAGGAAAAGCACACACGTGAAGGAACCTCAGCTAGATGATCTCCCTCTCTGGCCTGTGCCGACATGTGTGACTGACAACACGATGGAGCAAGAAGTAAAGCCCGAGGGGTAACCTTAATCCCTCTGACCTGCGACCTACTGCTTTCGCCCCCAGGAGCCTTTTTCTTCTCTGGGCCTACTGTAAGCGCCCCAGTGGCTGGAATGGAACGGTTTCCAGTCTGGAATGGTTGACACTAATGGCCAAAGAGTAGGGGGTCCCACGTGCTTGGTTAAAAGGTGAAAGTAAATGCGGGAGTCTGGAAGGACTTCCTATAGGCACAAAATCTGCCCCCTCCCCCCCAACTTTGGGAAATATGGATTACCAACAGGTTTGTGTCAACTCAGTGTTTCAAGCACCTTGCAAGTTTCAGTTTGCGAAGAAAAGACTTTGGTGAGACCAAAGCCACTGCTTTTAAAATTGTT
Organism: Homo sapiens; assembly: GCF_000001405.40. Lineage (NCBI taxonomy): Eukaryota > Metazoa > Chordata > Mammalia > Primates > Hominidae > Homo > Homo sapiens. The sequence goes on from NC_000002.12 coordinate 22,188,383, forward strand.
TAAAATTTTACAATTAGTACACAAAAGGGATTTATACTATGAATAAAGACTTCTTGGGCATTTATGGATCATAAGTTAAGAACTTCTGCACTAGAGATATATAGAGTACAGTACAGAATACAGTACACAGATCTTTCTGGGACAGAAGCTGTATTTTAGTTTGGTCAGTATCTTATGGCTAAACTGTTATGTGAATGAGAAGCACCAGCATATTGTATAGTGTTCCAGTAATCTTCTAGGGGGTTGGTTTGGCATGCCAGCTTTCTCTGAAAGAGCACAAGATATACAATGATCTATAGAAACTTGGTGTTAGTCATTCCACAGGAATCATTGGATTCAGGCACAGCTTGACGATAGAGTGATCAAAGGGACCCTGAGTAAGAGCTAAAGGAAGAGAAACCTTTGTCTTCAAATTGGACTTTTAGACCATGTAACTCATCTAGAATGAGAGCAATTAATCAGTGAGGCAAGGAATACTAACATGATTAAGAACTTAGATCCAAGAACTTGTGACATGAACACAGAAATACTTACAGTATAGGTCATAGAAGTATTTTGGAAATTCAGAGAAAAAAAGAGATGACTTCTGACTAGATGAAAATTCAGATTAATTATCCAGCAAATGACAAAGTGCCACAATTCTGATGGTACTTCTCTTTCCTTTAATGAAAGGTTTGCTTTATGGGTAATACAGGCTGAGTATTTCTTATTCTAAATGCTTGGGACCAGAAGTGTTTGGACAAGAAATGAATCCTGCCAGGCCAAGGCAGGCGGATCACTTGAGGTCAGGAGTTCGAGACCAGTTTGGATAATATGGTGAAACCTCATCTCTACTTAAAAATAAAAATAGCTGTGCATGGTGGCACATGCCTGTAATCTCAGGTACTTGGGAGGATGAGGCAGGAGAATGACTTGAACCCAGGAGGTGGAGGTTGCAGTGAGCTGAGATGGTGCACCATTGCACTCCAGCCTGGGCAACAGGGTGAGACACTATCTCGAAAAGGAAAAAAAAGAAATGTATCCTCCCCTTCTAGCCCATTTCTCCAATGAGCGTTTCCCTGAGTGTCATGGTGGTGCTCAAAAAATTTTGGATTTGGGAGCATTTCAGATTTTTGGGTTAGGGATATACAACCTGTAAGAGAAATATGTTGTGAAAGCAGCAGTAGCAGTGAATTGACAGAGATGCATCAAATCCGGATCTTAATACTGGTTTAAGTGAGCATTCAGGTGACTGGTGGGATCAGGATTCAGTTTCAGATCAATTAATTGCAGAATTTGAATTTGAGTCTCTCGGAGTTTACAGCCTTAATGTAGAACAACAAGAATTCTCAGATGAAGGTGATGAGGTGTGTCCAGTTACTGATTATTAGACATGGGGAGAGTGGTACAGATTCATTTGATGAAGGTCCTAAAATTGCCTTAGCTGCCTTGGACATGTACTTTATTAAATGAAATTAATCCTCCTCTTCTAGGCCATTTCAACAGATGTTGGGCCCTTTGTGAGAACTGACTTCCTGAAGACAAAGTGATAGAGGGAAAATAAGCTCAACCTGAGTAGAAGGGGCTTTGATGCTCCTGATTATAAAACCAAACAAAAAACCTATAGTGAATTACTCCAAAGAGTAATATGTTCATGTGTGGAGGAAAATGATGAGAGAACTCACATCAGCCTCCCATTCCCAAGAGACCGAGCACTGTTGTCAGCCAGCAACTTCTAATAGCATCATTTAGAGCTGCCAAGAAAATGTCAAAGACCTTGAGTGGAAAGAAACAAACAAGAAAGAAGAAAGTGTGAATCTAGTTTTCTCCTTAATGCCATTGAACTTTGTGTGCTTTAAAGCATACAACCTAAAAATGGTTGCATCAGCCATGGCAATAAAGGACATCTAATGGAATGTTTTACATGTGCAAAAAAGCTAAAAAAGAGATGAGTCAGTGTAAAGACAGCCAGTTCAAATGATTCTGCTTACATCCCCTAGTTGGCCTGTTCATAAAAGTAGAATTTCTATCTATATAACTCTAAATATTAGACAACATAAAAAGTATTATTAATTTTTTTACATGTATCAAAGCAAAAAAGTATCTTAGCCCATGTGCATTTATTTTCTTTTGTTCAGTTTACCTACTTTTCTGGGTGGGGGGCAGAGGGTGGTAATAAATATTTTCTTCCTTTTAGGAAAAATTTTATTTGTTTATATTTTATATTTGGGGTTCAATGTAATTGGAATTGGATATATAGCTCATCCTTTACACCTAAGCCCCTATATTTTAAATCATGTCTACTTTCTTTTAAATGAGAAGTATCTGATTTTTGAAATATGTATGTGTTTGGGGGGATCATTTAAATGTAACTTATTTAATACTTTTCATGTAAGAAGGAAAAGTTTCTGTGAAAAATTTAATATTTAAATTTTAGATCTTAAATCTTCTCATCTTTAGTTTCTCTGCTCTTTCAGAGGCTCTTAAAATACTCTTTTGAGATAAAAAATAAATTGGTAGTTATATTTGGTGCTATGTAAGTAAAAATGTACTTATTTTCCAGTCTCTTCAGTTTGGAAAGGATACGTGGTAATGATGGTGTCAATCAAGGTATCTTTGAGAATATCCATCATTTACCCATAAGATCAAACTTTTTAAGGCCCTCTAACAGAATATGGAGTTGTCCTGGGGGGTCCAACCTGGTATCCAGGCCCTTTGTCACACCTGATCTCAGGATTTAGTGAAATCTATTGTTTCTCCTAAGTGGAAAACAGTTCTAAGACATTTGAAATTTACTGGGCTAGGTTCCATAATTCCTGGTAGTTGCCTAGGTTTCTGACCCTTACTTAAGGCAAGTTTAGAAACCAGTGAATTCAGAAAGATAAACTCAGAAATTTGATAAACAGAAAATTTGTTCATTTTAAAATTAGCCAGAAAGGTTACAACTTCTAAGTGAATTACAAAGTACTCATCACTTTCCTTTAAGAATCGTAGGTTCAGAACACAGAATTCTAAAATATCTCTCAAACTGTGTAGATTAACTTATTTACATATTTATATGTGAATCTTCAGCAAAGTAGTGCAAATAACCAGTGTGATTTAGGGTCCCATTATTTTTCCTCCATATATGATCATTGTACATATTTGGGGGTGGACAATAACAAACTGAGCTATAAGTTTAGAATTGAACTGAAGGATAATTTCTCACACCAAATTTGTGTGCCAGTTACTAACAATACATTGTTCTTACAAACTTTAAAAATGAAAGCCACACAAATAAATACCTTACATATGTATACATATTTATGTAGAAGATGAATGGTTGAACAGAACTTTAGCCAAAGAGTGGTCCTCAACTACAGGAAAGCTTTATTAATTTGAAATTTATAATATTTCTAGTAGAAGTAAGTAAATTTATCCTGAGGAGAGTGGGTAGTATAAATGAGATTATAAACCATGTATACCCTGACTATATGTAGCAGTGATTATGCCATTTACAAAACATTTAAATATGGGTGCAAATGTAGTGTCATTACACATGCCTATGGATTACTAAAGTACTCTTGTCTAAATTTTTAGGTTTAATATACATATACTATTTATTGATTTACACATAAGCAGTTTGATATGGTTTGGCTGTGTCCCCATCCAAATCTCATCTTGAATTGTAATTCCCATAATCCCCACATGTTGTGAGAGAGGCCTGGTGGGAGGTAATTGAATCATGGAGGCAGTTTCCCCATGAGGTTCTCGTGATAGTGAGAGTTCTCACGAGATCTGATTTTATAAGCGTCTGGCATTTTCCCTACTGCCACTCATTCTCTCTCCTGACGCCCTGAGAAGAGGTGCCTTCTACCATGATTGTAAGTCTCCCAAGGACTCCCCAGCCATGTGGAACTGTGAGTCAACTAAACCTCTTTTCTTCATAAATTACCCAGTCTCAGGAAGTTATTTACAGCAGTGTAAGAACAGACTTATACATAGTTTTATAAAGTGATTAAGAAATAAATGAAAGGGAAACTATTAATGATTATGTAAGGATAACAAGCATTAATGGGCCACCCTACTTTTGACTCTAACTTTTTGACATACTTATTCACAGTGGTACACCCCCAGTTCTTATAATCTGGAAAAGCTCTACTTATAAAATATAAACACTCCAGTCTTTTACTACAGCTTTCTACACTCCCAGTTCTGTTTTATCTCAACCTGCCTTTCTTCTGACCAAGACCTCCCCCTTCTGTTCATTATATGTTTTCTTTATCTAAATCATAATCTACTCTCACCCCACATCCTTCTTAATCTTGAATACATTTCAATTTAGCCACTCTCTTACATGTTTTTTCACTTGTTCTATTATCATTCTCAAGAATCCATCTCACAGAACGTTAATTCTGGATCAAGTTCATTGTCATCCTTCCCTAATCAAGTGAGGTGCATTGTTTAGAGAAAAAATAGAGCCTCAAAAAGTACTGTTTTTTCATATGTATATTCTCTAGCATCAAATTGGCACTCAAGACCGACAATCCTGTTTCCTCAGTACTCCATTTCTCACTGTGAGTACAGTGGCTATTTTGAGTCTTGGCCATCTTCCTCAAGCCTTCTACTCATCAACTCTGTAGCCGATTTGGAACTGATCATCCAGCTTCTTATTTCTGAAAAAATATATGCTATTAAAATATGATATTTGTCAGCACTAAACACCCAAAGGTAAATGTGCCTGTTCTGTCTCTTACATTCACCACAGTGTAAGACAGTCCTACTTCCTTCAAAAGATTAATTCATTTTCCAGAGTTCTAGAGTTTATAGCCTTCCATCTCCCAAGGGACCTTGCTACATTAATTTTTTTCCTTTTTCTGCAATGTCTTCAAAGAAAAAACCACTAGCTAACATTGGTTAAGGGTATATTGACACACATTCACAGATGAAGAAACTGAGATTTGTCTTAGAAATGTCCCCAACTGAGAAATGCCCGAAGTCCTGCTCTGCTTGAAAATGCAAGAGCTAGAATAAAGATTAAAATGAGTTATCCATAGATAGAGAAAAGATTTGCTATCACATATTGATTGAATCACATAATCATTTAAACAGCTTCAGGTATTTCTCCTCCTAAATAAAATACCACAAAATGATCTGGGAATAATTGTCTCTGTCTTTCACATGTCCCAACAATCTAGCTTTACCCTGCTCTGTTTCCCTGACACCTTGATTGTGTTCTGCTTCTCTGTGAGCTCCTTGTTGTCAATAACACTTCTTCTTGATGTTTTTAATCACTCATTGTTATAAAAATGCTCTTTCACTGAGTTCCGTGGCCCCACGTACTTTGTCTTTCCTTCTACCTCTTTGGCTGCTCCTTCTTGGTTTCCTTCATGATGTTCTCCTATTTCCTTAAATGGTTCTTAATTATTGATTCTCAATAGGATTTGGTCCTTGATCACTTCATCTATTGTGATGACCTTGATATGACCTATTTGCTGATACTTCCCAGAAATGCTGAGGAAGATTTGTTCAAGCTTTCATTCACCACCCTCACCTCTCACTCTCACCTGCACACATAGCTATTCTTTTCTTAACAGCCCATAGGTACGGTGTGCTGCAAACTTTTGAGTTAGTAAGTGGCCCTGTAACTGAGGAAGAATGTTGGTTGCCACAGTCCTAACTGTAAAATGTGTAAGCCCGTTGGATCCTCAATGTGCTGGTCTTTCCCATCCCCACTTGTGATGCAGACTGATAAACAGATTTTCACGCTGGTCCATTTTACCTTTTCATCATCTCCCTCATTGTTACTGGTCTAAAGTTGAAACTATTGTTTTCTGCAGATGTTTTCTGCATTTGATGTTGTAGATGTCCAGATACTAGCTTGAGCGATCTGAAAATTTCTGCCAATTTGTGAGTTAAATGGAAGAATGGACAGTTCTCAATTTTATAGAATCTATGAAACAAGAGTTGTAAATAGCAATCTTAGAAATTTCCTGATTGAAGGCTGAGGTCTGTGGATCCTCCAACTGGCAGAGCTGGGAACTCTAATCTCTTGCTTGCATTCCTGGCTTTTCTCCAATTTGAATTTGTAAAAATCAAGGGCTCTGCAACAAAGGTACTCTCTGTGGTAAGTCAGCAATGAATAGTGTTAAATCACAGAGTTACCTTAGTTTACCTAGTGAGCACACCTGGTTTCAAAACCAGCATGCATGTCCCTCTCCTTTTAGTGGCTAGCAGAAAACCAGTATGTACTGTAGTGAACAAGTGTTGGATATATCATAAGCACAATTTGCTGCCATGTTCTTGGATTGGTCTTGAGGTAAGGCAATTTATTCATTGAAGGAAGAAAAGGTCTAGGTTAGAGTGCACGTCTGTTTAATTTGATGTTGATTTTCATTTTCTGCCCACCCATTGTCCTTTCATTTCCCTATTGTACTATTTTAGTTACTATAGACTTAAGATAGAATAAGGAAGAAATGGCGTATTTAGTGAAAGTGGAAGAGGAAAGTACAGATAAAAACTAAAATAAATGTAATGTCCCAGAGATTTTCACGTAGACCTCTGTATAGTATCTATATTACTGCACAGATCAGTAGTTACTTTGCAGTGAGGACCTACTTTTTGTCATTGGCTTTTGTTTGGTGTTCTTTGGTTTGGTTTTGTTTTTCTGAGTCAGGGTCTTGCTTTGTTGTGCAGCTGAAGTGCAGTGGCATGACCATAGCTCACTGCAGTCTCAAATTCCTGGGCTTAAGCAATTTTCCCTTCTCAGTCGCCAAAGTCATGCATGTTACAGGCATGTTGGGAGGCCGAGGCGGGTAGATCACGAGGTCAGGAGATCGAGACCATCCTGGCTAACATGGTGAAACCCTGTCTCTACTAAAAAAAAAAAAAATACAAAAAATTAGCCAGGCATGGTGGCAGGCACCTGTAGTCCCAGCTACTCGGGAGGCTGAGGCAGGAGAATGGCGTGAACCCGGGAGATGGAGCTTGCAGTGAGCCAAGATTGCACCACTGCACTCCAACCTGGGCCCAGAGCAAGACTCTGTCTCAAAAAAAAAAAAAAAGATTACAGGCATGAACCCCTGTGCCCTGGGACACACTGTGCATACACATATATGTGTGTGTATATATATATATTATATATGTATGTGTGTGTATATATATATTATACACACACACACACACACACACACACACACACAGAGGACACTGATGGGGATGCAATAAACTACTTTGGAAATAAATTTTAATATGGCAACATTCATCAAAATTTCCCCCAAATATATACACATTTTTATCCAAGAATTCTTTGTCTTAAGAATATTTATCTATAAGGATGTTTATATTTTACTGTTTATAATACAAAAAATCCAATAAATACCAACTTAATAACTACGTACTATTTAATTATCATATACCCATATTGTTTAATACAATTCAGTCCTGCCTGAAAATCAGAATAAAAAAGAATACTAAATCATTCAATAATGTAATTTTATGTGCAAAAAGAAGCATATAGAACTGTTATGCACATAATCAAAATGATGATATCTTAGGTATTTTGGTTTTATTTTATCCTAGCTTTTTAAAATTTTTCTTCAGTAAAAGCATTTCGTTTTTATAACCAGAAAAATTAAGTTGTTTTTAAAGGAAGACTCATTAGTAGTTAAAATCAGAAACACCTAATAGAATAGAATAGGACTGGATGTAAATGTCTATGTTTAGGTGTAAGTACGTGAGGAGATGAAAAAATTTAATAACTATGCATGATCTTAGTAAGTCAAGGTCATATTTATCTTAACCTTAATGTCAACTTGATCTTAATAAGTCAAATTTTAGACAACAGTAGGCAATGTCTCCTGACAAGATAAATGCAGTCTGTGAATTATTTTAATATTTCTATTAAGAAAACAGAAAGTACTAGTCCTCTGTACTCTGACTTGGTCTGGCCATATTTGGAGGATAGTGTTTCATTCTGAGACCACGTGTTAAAGAAGATCAACGATTTATAAGTGAATGTGACCAAAATTACATATGACTGCCATGTGGAAAACAGAATTACAAAGTTCTCTAGGGCAGGGGAGCTGGTGCAGGTATTTGTATTGTTTAAATACAAAGTCATATTTCTCAAGATTAGAACTATACAAAAACGGAACCAGTTTTCTATCATTATCTTTTTCCAGAACGCTAACAGAACAGCATCTGCACGTCCCCCTCGACATGAGTCCTGATCCACAAATAAAGCATATTAACTCCACCCACCATCCCTCCAAATCTGCAGACTCCTGAGGTCTGTATGGCAAAATCATCTGGGTGTTTTCAAGATTTAGACACTTTCTTTATTATAAGGATTCTTTTCCCATTAATAAAACCTGGAAAAATATCAAAGAAAAAGGGATGAGTATGAATCAGAGAACATAATTACTTTTGTAATGTGGCATGTTATAAGACTATTCAAGCAGATGTACATGGAAACAGTTTGCCAAATTATTATACAATAATATTATAAAATATTTTTCTCAATGAAAAAAGTTATGGCTATTAACCTAAGAAAATCCTTTTGGAGTGTATGTGTTCAAACCTGTCTTCAGAAGCTACTTAACATGTGGATAATTACTTATGGGTCTATTTAATGTCTGGCTTTGAATTGCTTTTTCTGTAATTCACAAAAAAGTACAAGTATGCCAGATGGCAATGCATAAGATAAGAATAATTTAATGCTTTCGTCTAACAAAGTACTGTAACTTGGCTTTGAGAAAAAAATTATTTTTTAAGAATAAGTCAGTCTTCACATCTAAATGTATATACGTATGTATGTGTGTGTGTGTGTATATATATATATATAAATGTATGTACAAATCTATATAGAAATTTTTACATCTGCATTTTGTTTAGTTACTCAGTATATTTTGCATATTCATCGATGCAACTTAATGGGCAAATACTTTACAGTGAATTTTGTTTATAACATGTGTGTTTATTTTCTAGATACACATTACCAAATAGTGGTGAGAAGATGAGTCTGATAAAAAAAATCTGTCTTAGACCCATATTTGACAAATGCAACATGGCAATTAATCAAAACAAAGATATTACTATGCATTAGGGAAAACATATTCAAACTTTTTCATAGAAACTTTGTGGACTGCAGAGGCTTGAAGCATATTTACTAATAAAATGAACCTGAGATTACACAACATAGACATGTTAAGTAATTATGTCTGCACCACAAAACATATAATTTTGCTTATTCTTGGTCAGTAATAAACTTAATATATTTTTAATATAATAAAAGAATATCATCATTGGGCAAAAATACGAATTCTGATGATCTGTTCTTTGTTATATATGGCTGCAGAGTTTAGCCAACATTTTATATTTAGCTGTAGTATAAAGATATCTATTTAACTTTTAGCTACAAGCAGGGAAAAGTCCTCAAAGTATTTATACTTCCAATGCATTGCTATATTCTACCTTCTAGTTTCTAATTTCACAATAATCAAAATAATCTCATAAAGCTATCTTCTCTTTAGTGTTTCTCAACAAAACCTCAATCTTTTCTGTGCAAAATCAGTGATCTCAGCTAAAATTACAAAAAAACAAATTTCTCTTCCTTACATTTCATGTCAAGCAAATTAACCTATCCTCTCCTATTCTCCTCTCCTTTCATTTATCATAGCTCCTTGCTGCCAATTGGTGAGTATCTGCCATTTCAATGCATTTCATATCATTTTTGCTTTCCTCTGGGTCTTCCTTATATTCAGATTCAAGTATATATATTGAATATATATTTGAATATGTATTATACATATTTTAAATTACTAAAAACGTATTGAAGGTTTGTATACTGTAGCTAAATTCAAAGACATCAGTTATTTTCAGAGATTCTCTGTCTTCCATAGGACAGACTTTGCTACTTTGCCTGAAGCTGGGCTGCCTTTCTCTAAAGTTCCCTACTTTAAGGTCTTTTCCATTGAATTTCAAACAACTCTACTTTATCTTTCTTTTTAATTCTAGCTCACAGAGCTAACCTTCCTTGGATCTTCAGTCAGCATCCAGTGGCTGATAGACAAGTAAATTGCCCAATATTTGAGTCAAAGTTGGGTAAAGAATCAAAATAATCTTTAAGAATTGTTTCAGTGTACTGAATTAGTCACTGTTAACAACTGGGTATTAAACTGGGTTTAATCTATTCAAGTGAACCAAAGACAATAAAGACGACATCCCACATACTTAGAAGGCTCAGAGATCGTGTCTCTCTTGCAAAATGTAGGCATAGCAAAATGTAGGCCTACCTAGTTACTTTTGTATTCCTAGGATTCTAGAATCACAGTAGAAAAAATAGGTGTAGTGATGCCTACTTGGCATTTGAAGTCACAATGCCAATCTGTCACCATTCAGTAAGCAATATATAAATCCTGCCTGCAGCTGCAAAAGGGCTCCTGTCTTCAGTACCCACTTCATTTATTTGAAAACAAAGCAAAGAACCTCGCTCAACAGCTTTTACAGGTATGGTGACTGCTGTTTTTGCAATTGATTAGGCTCCATTTGTTTATATAATATTAAGGAGTATTGCAGGCACCAATCTTTCAAGTTGCCAACTCCAAAACACATTGTTTTCAGTTTCTTTAATGTAATTAATCTGTAGACTTCTGTGCTAGGTTAACTGAATCGATTTTTTTCCTGCCCCCTCCCTCTTTTGTCACTTGACAGCTTGAAACTGGGTCTGGAAAAGCTCATTTGCATTCCTGCAGCAAGGCCCGGAGAATAAACCGAGCAAACGTGTCTATTTGTGTACTTCAATATATGACTGTGCTTGCTTCAATCAAGACTTATTTTCAGTATCATGGCCAACAAAAGCATTAAACGAGTTTTCTCTAACATGAATGATAAGCTGTAGAATGCATTTCTTTAAAGTAATTTTTTTCTGTGACGCTTATGGAATGCAGTGAAAAATAGAAGCAAGAGTGCAAATCTCACTAGAAATTCACAATGCTGCCTTGCCATTTGAACTCTTTCTCCTTGTTTCCTGACATGTTAAGTGCCTTCATTATAGTTTAGGTTGTACCTGATTATAAGTTTAAAAGGTTACAGTTATATCTCAAAAGTAATTATTTTTAAAAATCAGTATTTCACATTGAACTTCAAAGATTGCATTCTCAACCCAAGATTGTCATTTTATATACTGATATATTTTGGGAATTGATGCTGGTCTTGACTTCTTAGAATGAAAAATACCTAAAGCATATTTTTTTCAGGCATTAGTATTGTTTCAACATAATCCCTTCTGAATACTTTTTCTAATTCTTCCCCTATGAAAATACTTGGTACATTTTCATTTAAATTTTTTTTTAACTGTCTCCCATCCTGGGGTCAAACATTTAACTGAATCCAATTTTTTTTTTTTACTATAACTTATGTGGCTTCAACTATAAAGTCAACATCTGTGTGTGTCCATGTTTCTCTCTCTCTCTCTCTCTCTCTCTCTGTGTGTGTGTGTGTGAGAGAGAGAGAGAGAGGGAGAGAGAGAGAAAGAGAGAGAGAGTCTTTGCGTTTCTGGAAAAGTATGAGTGAAAGAAGAAAATTCACTTTCTCTGTGTTTCATGTAACACCATCTTATAATGTTAATGACAGAGATGATGTTCTCAGTTATTTCAGCCAACACATTCTTCTTTTCATAACCTAATCTCCTTCATTTGAAAGAGAAATGTATTTTTAGCCAACTCTTTGGGACCAAGTCATTGATTTATGAATATAAGGTGAAGGACTTCATGAATTTTTTCCTGACCTCCATCTGTCATTTCCTTAGTCATATCTATTTTAAGAAATATAAAACAAATTGTCTTAATGGGGCACATTATCACCTTGATATATCATACAGGAAGGACTCCCTCTGCTTCTTATCACATCCTTACAGAAAATAAGCTTTACACTGCCCTAAGCTGATTTTCTGTATATTCTTTATTATTTTATATTGATGATGACATACATTACTCAAATGCTGATTCACTCTCAGTATTCTTGCAAAAGATTGGAGTAATTCTGTTCAAGTCTTCTGCAGATAAGAACAGACAACAAGAAGCATCTGAGAATTTCTGAGAAATTAATCCTCCAAAGCTGTCCAATGTCTAATTCCACTCACTGCTGTTTCTTTAGTATGTTTGAGTTCATATTCTCCTAAAACTATCAGTTATGTCTTTGAGAGACATCACAACTGTTAGGCCTCAAGCCTCATCCAAAATAAGCATAAAAATAATCATTTTGCTTTTTAAGGACCTACAACCAGATAGGAAACAAAATATAAAACTTTTCATGTGTATTTTGAAGAAGTTCCATGTAGTCTCATTTTATAGGTGTTTGTAACTACATATAGAAATTATATTTGTCTCTATAGGCTAACACATTATCTCTCTTCACAAACACACACACACACACACACACACACACACACACACTGTATGAACTACAAAGAAATTCTGGTTGGAGAAAAGTATGAGGACATTAGCAATGACAATCTACTATCTTGGTTAGATACAGAGTGAAGATAAGCCAATACAATATTCTAAAAGAACAAATTAGAAGTTGACACAAGATTAGGGTCCATTTCAAGACAAGATATAATGTGATTTATGCAAACAGATGTTAAGGTGATACATTTTCCTTGTAAGGTATTGCAAGATTTCTTGTGTGGACTTGGAAACCCCAATAATATACTTCAGAATGGGAACTATCGCCTTAATTTGCATGTAGAGACTTGGAGCTCTCCATAGGGGTTGGTAATGTCAATTCTGTAGAAATAAATGACAGTTTCTTGATGGGACTTGATTTAAGGGAGGCTTGCTAAAAATAAGATGGCAACTAGGGCTTTGTTAATAAAGTCAAGATGTACAAATAATGACTTTTCTTTGTTTTTGTTATAGCTGAGTATTTATTGTGTCTTATTTGCAGTCCTACATTTTAAGAATATTGACAACTGAAGTTTTGTTAGAGAAGGGTAATCTGGAGGGTGAAATATTTAAATCCCAACTAGAAATGAGGAGGAGCTATTGGTAAGATAATGACTTAATGTGGGTACACAGGAAAGCCATTGTGACAGTTGTTCTACATCTGAAGCACTACCATAAAGAAAACGAATATCCTCATGCAGTATAACTTTAAAGAGCAAAACTAGGTTGAATAGCATAAAGTTGCAATATGTTAAAGTTTGTCTCATTTTAAGAAAAAGTGTTGTAACAATTAATAATATCTAACCACACAACATGAGCCTTTTGAAGAACTGTTTTTCTTGTCACTGGGAAAATGCAAGTACAACTGTCAGCTGTGGGGAGCAGTGCCCAAAGGAATCCTGCACTGGTAGAAGTAGGAAAGTGAGATTCTAGATCTATTTCTAGACCTGAGATGTTAAAATCCTAATAAATCAGACACCTTAGAAATTTGCAATTATCCCTTTGAAAAACTTTTATAGTTAGAAATATATGTGAACGGGCCAGACTCTTATTATTTTTAATATTAAAGAATAAAAAGGTGATTTTAAGGACATTCAAAAGTGGTAATGATCTTGAGTCACTCCATATTACGATAAAACTAGGCATAATTTTTAACTAAGTTTGGAGAGATATAAAGAAAGCTTATGTGAAAGTCACCATGTCAAGGGCTGAAGTTACAAAAATAACCGGGTTCTTCTCAAGGAGATATTTATCTAAAATGGAGACTGGACAAAAAGCATAGACAGATGAACCTGGAGGTAGAAAAGTTTAAGTTGCTCAAGCAGATACTCAAGATATTAGAGACAAGAATAAACTGGCTGAGGGAAGTATAATATTAGAATGGATATATTATGTAAAGCCAAAACACTCACCAGAAAATTGTGTTTCCAAAGAGGGCTAGAAGACACATCATTCACAAGGCCAAAAGGATGCTTTTGAGGAGCACCAGAATTACTAAAAAGTTAAGGTGTGGCTCTCTGCAGACACAAAGGTGATGGTCAGAGAAGTGATTACATAGCTATGTTCATTAACATCTATGATGATTATGAAGCTCTGAAGTAATAGATGGTGTCCCTTGATCACCAGAACCCAGAAGGTTGCAATTCTCATGATGACTGGCAAGATCACATGAACAGCTATGGAGATTTTTCATTGGGAGTTAGAAATATGGTTAATACAACATTGTGCTTCCAAGGGCAAAATAAATGGACACTCAACGGGGATGCTGCTTAATATATATAATACCTAACTGAAAAAAAAAAAGCAAGAAGGAGAAATAAGTGGTTGAGGATTGTTACCCCAGTGATTTTCAGATTTGGAACCCATTGGCTGAAAGGTAGCTAGCCCCATCCCTATGATGAAGGACTCCACAGTTCCATGACAAGTAATTGCTGTGTTGATTCCCTCAGACTTAATAAATATATAAACTGCTTAGTTAAAATTGCATTTCAAAAGAACATATAATTTATTTAGTATACCTATGTCCCCAAATTTGCATGGGACATACATATACTTAAAAGTTATTTATCTAAAATACACATTTAAATGTATCCCATAAATAATCTTGTATCCCTACTACTTTGAGATGTAAAGTGTCATGAATCTTCAGTTAAAGTGAGAGCTTTACGATAACAACTGAGGTTCTGCCTCAATTCTATCTCACAGTGGGCTCACTTGTCTACCTTCAGGCCCACCCAACAATCATTTTCCCAGACTCCAATGCTTAACTGAGATTTAGAAACATGGTAGAGTGACTTATACATTGGGTCCCTGGTCTGTGGATTAATAACTGTCATAGAGGTAAGGGTCAAATGAAAAGCTATGAAAAAGCTCTTCTACACCTAAGATAGTGTAACAAAAGCAGTACTGTACTCACAGTTGATGTCATACTCAATGGTAAAAGATTAAAATATTTCCCCCTAATATGAGGAACAAGACAAGAATGTCTACTTTCATCACTGATATCCAACACTGTACCCCATTCTAGTAAAAAAAAATTAGACAAGAAATTTAAACAGATGCCTCTAAATTGGGGAGGAAGAAGTAAAATTTTTATGTGTATTCAGAGATGACATCATTCTATATAGAAAAAAAGAGTCCAAAGAATCCATAGAATTACTATTAGAGCTAGTCAATAAATTCAGCAATGTTGCAAGATATAAGGTCAACACACACACACACACACAAAATCTCATTTGTGTTCTACACAATAGTAATAGACACTCTATAAAGGAAATTTAGAAAGTAATGTCATTTACTATATCATCCAAAAGAATAAAATGCCCACGAATATGCAAGGACGTGAAAGACTTGTACACTAAAAACACTTTTGAAAGAAGTTAAAGAATAACTAAATAAATCATAAGACATCTCATTTTCATAGATTGGATGACTTAATATTGTTAAGATAACATTACTCAAAGTATTCTACAGGATCAATAAAATCCCTATCAAAATTCCAGCAGTCACTTTGCAGAAATAAAAAAGCCAAACATCAAACTCATGTGTAATTGTGAGAGCCCCTGAACAGCCAAATAATCTTAAAAAAATAAAAACAAAGACAGAGGATTCACAGTAAATTCACCAAAACACTATGATACTAGCATAAGGATAGTCATATAGACCAATATAATAAGAAAGAATGTCCAGAAATAAGCCTATATGTTATGAGTTTTGTTGTGTCCTTCCATAATAAAGAAAAATATGTTAAAGTACTAGTCCCCAATTCCTCAGAAGGTCATTTTTTTGGAAATAGGGTATATTAATCCATTCACTGCTATAAAAACATACCTGAGATGGGGTAATTTATAAAGAAAAGAGGTTTAATTTATTCACAGTTAGGTGGAGATTAGGAGTCCTCAGGAAACTTACAATCATGACGGAAGGGGAAGAGGCACATCTTACATGGTGGCAGGCAAGAGAAAGAAGATTGTGGAGTGAAGAGGGAAGTGCCTCTTATAAAACCATCAGATCTTGTGAGAACTTACTATCGTAAGAACAGTATGGGGAAACCACCCCCATAATCCAATCACCTCCCACCAGATCTCTCCCTAGACACCTGGGGATCATGAGGATTATAGTTCAAGATGAGATTTCCATGGAGAAACAGCTAAATCATATCATAGTGTTACTGCAGATATAGTTAAGATGAGGTCATACTGGAGTAGTGTAGGACCCTAATCCAATACAACTATTATTCCTATAAGACAACCATATGAAAACACAGACACACAGAGAACCATGTGTGTCTGTAAACCATGTCTGAACACCAAGTAGTGATGAAGACAGAGATTGGAGTTATGCAGCTGCAACCAAGGAATGCCAATGATGGCCAGCAAACCACCAGAAGCTGGAGAAAGTCAATGTAGGATTCCTATATAGCTTTAGAGGAACTATGGCCCTGCCAACACCTTGATTTAAGATGTCTAGCTCCAGAACTATGAGACAGTAAATTTCTCATGTTATAAAGCCACCAAGTTCATGGTATTTTGTTACTGCAGTCCTTGAAAACTAACACACCACATATCTATGGCTAACTGATTTTTGACTAGGTATCAGAATTCAATTAGGAAAAAATAGTTCTTCAACAAATGGTGCTAGAAAAACTAGATATCCTATCTTATTATATGCAAAAATTAACTTAAAATGGATCAGCAGCTTACTTATTAAAGCTAAAACTATAAAATTATTCGAAGCAAATGTAAAGGTCATTCTTCATGACTTTGGATTAGGTAATGAACTCATGATACCAAAAACAAACAGACAAAAAAAAAAAAAAACAGACAAGTTGGACCTCATTGAAATTAAAAACATTGTGCATCAAAAAATATCAAGAGTGAGAAGACGATTTATAGAATGCAAGAAAAAAATAGCAAATCTTATATCTAATAAGCACTAGTATCTAAAATATATGAAGAACTCTTTCAACTCAACAACAAACAAACAATCCAATTTAGAAATGAGCTACAGGCTTGACTGGACATATCTCCAAAGAAGATATTCAAAGGTCCAATAAGCACATAAAAAGATGTTCAACATTATTAGTCATTAAAGAAATGCAAATCAAAGCTACAAAGAGATACCACTTCACATCCACTAGGGTGTCATAAATAAAATGAAAAATATGTATTGGCAAGGGTGTAGAGGAATTGGAACTCTTGTACATTGACAGTGGGAATGCAAAATGATTAATCTGCTGTGGAAAAGGGTTAGGTGGTTCCTCAAAAATTAAAAATGGTATTGCCATATGACTCTGAAATTCTACCCCTAGGTATATACCCCCAAATTGAAAATAGACACTCATACAAATACATATATATTCATGTTTATAGGAACACTATTCGCAATAATCAAAGGGTAAAACCAACCCACATGTCCAACCATAGACACGTGGATAAATCAGTTGTGTCATATACAAACAATGGAATATTATTCAGCCATAATAGAGGAATGAAGTACATACTGCAACAGGAGTAAACCTCCGACACTTAAGGTCACATATTCTATGATTCTATTTATATGAAATATACATTATAGATAAATCCACAGAGACAGAACACACATTGTTGCTTACCAGGAGTTGAGGGAGAAGGTAAAATGAGAAGAAACTGCTTAATATATTTTAACTTGGAGTCTTAGGAATGTATTAAACTAGATGTGTTGCTTGCACATTATTGTGAATATACTGAATGCTATTTAATTATTTGTTTTTAAATGATTAACTTATGTTTTGTGAATTTTGCATTTATAAAATTTTTAAATAATGTTGTATTAATATATTCTGGAGGAGATGGCAGAGATTAGTTCAACCTTTAAAGACCCAAAATATACAGCTGTGCTGATTCCATTTATGTCTTCATTTAATTCAATAATCTGGCCTCTGTAGAAACTGGATGAATCATGGAGAATGACTGTGTTCTATGATAGACTTAATTAAGCAGTAGCCCCAGTTGCAGCTGCAGCACTGGATGTGGTATCATTGCTGAAACAGATTAATAAGACCTCAGGTATGTGGTATATAGCCATTGATTTGGCAAATGTGTTCTTTTCCATTTAAATTAGTTAAGAGGATAAGAAACAGTTTGCATTCCTGTGGTACAGAACAATATTTATTTACAATTATGCCTCAGGACTATGTTAAGTCTCTTGCCTTCTGTCACAACATAGTCCTAAGAGATCTAGACCACCTGGACATATCAAAGAGTATCATCCTGCTGCATTACACCAATGACATCATGCTGAGTTGGCAAGATAAGAAAGAAATGGCTAAAACTGTGGAGGCCTTTGTAGGATATGTGCATTTCAAAGAAGAAAACCAAATCCTACAAAGATTCAGGGACTTGACACTTTAGTAACATTTAGACAGATTTGTTGCTCAGGAGATTACCATGATATTCCTT